>NT_167244.2:1023823-1224018 GCF_000001405.40 Homo sapiens | reverse complement strand
GGCCGGGCCCTGCTGGGTTTGGCTTTGGGCCAAGAGCTGCTGGTTTGAAGATCTGCCAGCCTATGGAGCCTTCCCTGATGGGTACTCTCATTAGAAAAGGCATTTCTGGCTCCGCCCTCCCTTCCTGTTTTTTTTTTTTTTTTGTGCTTCAAAGGCACCGTTCCTCTCCGTGGCAGGCCTAGAGGTGCACTGTTTGTGTTTCAAGCAACCCCCACTGGTGACCCAGCAACTGTAAAGGGTCTCCAGTTTGTCCAGCCCTGGGAGGGGACTTAGTGGCTTTTCCTCCTCCTGGGCTGCAAGGATCCTCCCCTGGCCCAGCCCGACTCTGGGAAACAGAACTTTTACACATTCCACCTTAAAGCATTTTGGCAGACTTTTCCCCAGCACGAGCTCTCTCTACTTCAGGGATTGCAAACTGGCATCCTCTTTTGCCTGTTTTGGGTTTTTAAGTTATTTGAACAGAATATCAGCATTTTAAAATTATATTTTACATAAAAAGTCAGAATTTTGTCCTCTGACAAAGCAGACAATCTGGCAACACAGTGCCAGCACTGTAAGAAGAGCTGAGCAGCCGCCACAGTTCCCACCCAGCCCTGCAGCCCTCCTTTTTATTATTTGCTGGCCCTGTAGTCATTTGAGTTTACAACCCTAGTACTGATTTTCCTTATGTAGCGACCCCAGCCCTTCTGCTGCCTTACTGACAGCTAACTGCCCCTGGTGGCCTTCCAGCCTCTCACTAAAACAACAAAACCTTAATGTTATCTTATTCATTTACTCTTCCATAACTTGAATCCTTTTGACCACCTCCTGATAAACAGCCATCTAGTTTTTGCTGTAGGCAACCCGTTACACCTCAAGCAGCCTGATCCTAAACTCTCCTCCACATCCCTTTCTCACTTGCATCCATCCCCCAGTTCCCGGGTTTTGTCGTTCCTCAGTGGCCACGCACTGCATGCACCCTTCCCCTGCACCTCCTTGTTGCTTAAGTCCCCAGAAACTTCCCCCAGCCCTGCCAACCTCTCAGCATTCTCTCACTTTGTCTTGTACTCTTTTTTCCTTTTACATTATTTGTCTCCCCAGTTTTACCTTCTGTGTTTCTCTTTGATCTCTGTCTCTTTTAGTCTCTCTTGCTAATTTTCCTCTTCTATTCTCTCTCTGTCATCCCATTTCCTTTCTGTCTCACACTCAGCTTCTTCCTCTTTCTCTGGGCATGAGCCGAGCCGTGCTGTGCCCTGGCTCCCCTTGTCTGTCTGCAAAAACAGGCAGCTCTGCGGAAATGACTCAGCAGTAACCTTTATCAACAGCTTTTAGAAGCCAGCTGCCACACACAGCTGTGCCGCTGGCTCTCTCTTCCTTCAGGTATAGCAGCTTAACTCTCTCTCTCTCTCTTTCTCTCACACACACACACAAACTTTCTGAGCTTCCCTCAGTATTTCCTTAATTGGTTTTTTATTCCATCCGTTAATCTTTTGCAGTTTCTTAGTAATATTACATCAGCTTTTAGTTACAAAATTAACCTTTAAAAGGCCTTGCCCTACTGGGTCCTCTGGATTTAATCCTGAATATTTTTTCACTTGATCCCTGAGCCTCTGCAGAAATGCAGAGGGAGTCTCCTCTTCTTGTTGTTGGATCTTGAATGCTTTGGGGACGTTTTGTGTCCTATGAGTGGACTGCATAATCCCTCTAATTATTAGCTCCCTATGGTCTTGCATTTGGACCCGATCCCTGGGGTCATTATTATCCCATCCAGGATCTGCATTTGGGAATTTCTGCTTAGCTGGCAGGACTCATTACCCAGGAGGATGCTGCTGTCTCTCCCAAATGATTATGGCTGCCCTTCTAATTATTCCCGTCTTTTTCCCAGTAAACAGAATATTCATGATTGAATTATCTCAGCCCAAGTATAAAAATTAGGTTCTAAAAATTGATCTAGCTGTTCTGCTAAACTGAGGGGATCTTCCGAGAGTGGCCTCATTTCCTTTTTAAAATTCCTAACCTCAGTACTTGTTAAAGGCACACTTACAAATCCAATTTATTATTATTAACATTATTATACTTTAAACTCTGGGATACACGTGCAGAACATGCAGGTTTGTTACATAGGTATACATGTGCCATGGTGGTTTGCTGCACCCATCAACTCATCATCTACATTAGGTATTTCTCCTAATGCTATCCCTCCCCTAGCCCCCTACCCTCAGACAGGCCCCAGTGTGTGATGTTCCCCTCCCTGTGTCCATGTGTTCTCATTGTTCAACTCCCATTTGAGTGAGAACATGCAGTGTTTGGTTTTCTGTTCTTGTGGGTCTTTCTCTGAGAGACCCAGAGAACACGTAGCTGATGGTTTCCTGAGAATGATGGTTTCCAGCTTCATCCATGTCCCTGCAAAGGACATGAACTCATCCTTTTTATGGCTGCATAGTATTCCATGGTGTATATGTGCCACATTTTCTTTATTCAGTCTATCATTGATGGGCATTTGGATTGGTTCCAAGTCTTTGCTATTGTGAACAGTGCCGCAATAAACATATGTGTGTATGTATCTTTATAGTAAAATGTTTATAATCCTTTGGGTATATATCCAGTAGTGGGATTGTGGGATTGCTGGGTCAAATGGTATTTCTGGTTCTAGATCCTTGAGGAATTGCCACATTATCTTCCACGATGGTTGAACTAATTTACACTCCGACCAACAGTGTAAAAGCGTTCCTATTTCTCCACATCCTCTCCAGCATCTGTTGTTTCCTGACTTTTTAATGATCGCCATTCTAATTGGTGTGAGATGGTATCTCATTGTGGTTTTGATTTGCATTTCTCTAATGATAAGTGACTATGGGCCTTTTTTCATATGTTTGTTGACTACATAAATGTCTTCTTTTGAGAAGTGTCTTTTCATATCCGTCGCCCACTTTTTGATGGAGTTGTTTGTTTTTTTCATGTAAATTAAGTTCTTTGTAGATTCTGGATATTAGCCCTTTGTCAGATGGACAGATTGCAAAAATTTTCTCCCATTCCATAGGTGGCCTGTTCACTCTGATGATAGTTTCTTTTGCTGTGCAGAAGCTCTTGAGTTTAATTAGATCCCATTAGTCAATTCTGGCTTTCGTTGCCATTGCTTTTTGTGTTTTAGTCATGAAGTCTTCGCCCATGCCTAGGTCCTGAATGGTATTGCCTAGGTTTTCTTCTAGGGTTTTTACAGTTTTAGGTCTTATGTTTAAGTCTTTAATCCATCTTGAGTTGATTTTTGTATAAGGTGTAAGGAGGGGGTCCAGTTTCAGTTTTCTGCATATGGCTAGCCAGTTTTCCCAACACCATTTATTAAATCGGGAATCCTTTCCCCATTGCTTGTTTTTATCAGGTTTGTCCTTCCTTACATTGTTCTAATTCTTTCCTCAAGTTTGGATAAGGATTTAAGGGAGCATTGGGTTTAGCTCCTTCATGACCTCCCAAATCCTTTTCCTCTGACCTTCCTTTTGCCCCCTGATCTCCCTGTCCTCTACTTTGTGAGATGTATAGGGTGTAGGGCAAGCGTGTTAGGGGATCCCAGGGCTTTTCACTGGGTGAGGGCTCTTTACTATGCTCTTTTTATTTCTCTTTAAGGGGGAACACGGGGCTTAATTCACTAATCCAACAAACAGCATAACCCATCTCCTCTTGTGAAGATGGGGTTTTATCATTCACATAGAGAATTAAAGCTTGGCATATACAGTCCTTATTTGAGCTAAACTTAGGCCAAAGGACTGAAGGCTGACAAATGGGCTTTTTAGGCCAGATAAAACAGCAAGCAATACATTATTATTTTTTGTTTTTCCTTATTTCAGGTTTTCTAGTTATTTTTGAGTCAGTTTTGGCAATTTCTATCTTTGTATGAATCTGTCCATTTTATCTAAGTGGTCTAACTTATTGACTTCAGGTTTTTCAGAGTCTTCACTTATAATGCTTTTGAATTTCTAAAGGGTCACTAGTGATAATCTCTCTTTTGTTCACAATTTTGGTAATTTATCTCATTTCTTATCATCTCTGTTTTGACTGTTGGTCAAGAAAACAGACAGAGGCAGCAGATGGCTATGTGATTCTCTAGTGGGAAGGCTTTGATCATACATGGCTGGCAAGCCAGACTGATGGCAGCAACCCCAAAGGAGCTGCCAAGGGATCTTGACAGGAAAGTCACTGACTCTGGATTGGGCTATGCTCAACCAGGGGAAGAGGTCAATGCTTCAAGGGCTATGAAATCACCAGAAAAAAAGAGATTGCACCAATGTGGACTGCTGAGTCCCATTTCTTTACGCAAGAAAACACACTTTACAGCCTCAAATGGCTAACAATGCACAGGGAGATGTCCTCCTCAGAAGAAAACTTTGATAGAAAATTGAAATGGTCAGTTGAAGCATTGTTTGTCTAAAAACTGGCAATATAGTTGTTGGGCAATATAAACATGAAGGACTGGCTTTTACATCTTCATGAATGTGCTCACTGTCCACATGGGTGGGGCTGCAAGAGTGACTCCTCTAGATAGCTTCCTCTCTTTTACCTGATGGATCAGGACGATGCTGTTATGACTATACATACAATTCTTCTGAAGGGGAGAGGATGCTGGAATAATGACTACGCTTCACCTCAAATTTCTTTTTTCATATGTGATGCAGTGGTACCAGGAATAGGGATGAAAATCAAAGTGCCAGAAACAGGAATTATCTTTAAGCCAAAAACCATAACTATATATTTACATCTTTATATAAGAATTCCCAAGCAACTCAAAGATGGTGCTATGCCTTCATTTCATCTGGCAAAGTCAGGATTAACAGTAAATAGAGCTATATAGCCTGGTGGTCAGATGGCCCCCACTAGTTCCTTACCTACATAACCTACCCTCTATGACCAAGAGTAGACCGAGGGAAGGCATGCTAGAATACTATTGCTGCCTGCAGTCTAGGTCAGCACAGCAGACAAACCTGATGTCACCTCTAAAACTGGAAAAGACTGATATAAAGGGACAGAAGGAGGAATAATGGCTGAGGGTAAGTGACTAAATCAAAGGGTTATATAATGAGGAAAATTCAATATTAGCTTAACTCCTCAAAAGTGCTGTGAGCAAGAGAAGATATTGTCTCTTAGGTCAATTATACTGGGTGCCTAAAAGAGTGAAGCCATATGTCCTTGAGACCATTCTTGTTTTTGGAGCCTGGTAAGGTTGAGTGGTGTCTGCAAACCTGAGTGACTTCATTCTGGGAGACATATTCATACGAGAGGATGGTGAACTGTTCTAATTTTGAATGACTGAATGAGACTCTGATAATACGCCAATACCTCTTTACTTTTATAATCCTTTTCCTATAAAAGATATGTGGTCAAAGAAAAGCGGGTAATCTGAGGTATAACAAAAACATTTAGTCTTTGTCCCTGGTTTCTCCTAAAAACCTTAGAATCTCTTGAGTGATAAGAGTTAGAATATTGATGAGAGGACTCATGGCTGAGCGGACCCTGGATATCTTGAGAATGGGGGCTGACTGCCAGAGACACATACCTGTGATGAGAGCGCTGTCTTATTCCATTTTGTGTTGCTATAAAGAAATGTCAGAGACTGACTAATTTATATAAACAAGGTTCATGTGGCTTGGGATTCTGATGTCTGGAAATGTTTGAGCATTTGGTGAGGGCCTCAGGCTGCTCCCACTCATGGCAGAAGGCAAAGGGGAGCTGGTATGTGCAGAGATCACACGGTAAGAGAGGAACAGAGAGCTTAGGAAGTTGCCAGGCTCTTTTTAACAACTGGCTCTCTTGGAAACTAAAAGAGTAACAATTCATTCACTTGCGAGAGAGGACAGGATCTCTTTATTCATAAAAGATTGGCCCCCATGACCCAAACAGCACCCATTAGGCCCCACGTCCAACACTGGGGGTCAGATTTTAACATGAGGTATCAGGGGGTAAATATTTATATCATTACATTCTGTCCCTAGCCAGCCAGAGCTCATGTTTTTCTCCCATTGCAAAATATGATAATTTCCCAATTGTCCCAAATGTGCTAGGTTGTTCCAGCATCAACTCAAAATTCCAAAGTCTCATCTGAGACTCAAGGTAAGTCCCTATAGCTGTGAGCCTGTAAAGTTTTAAAAAGGTTATTTACTTCTAAAATATTAATACAAGAGTGGAAGAGACATTTCTTATACATTTCCATTCTAAAAGGAATAAATGGGCCAAAAGAAATGAATGCAGTGTCCTCACAAAGCTGAAACTCATCATGGAAGATGTTAAAATTTAAAGCTCTAAAATAATCTCCTTTGACCCTATATCTTGAATCCTGAGCACACTGGTTCAAGTGGTGGGCTCACAATGCCATTTGCAGCCCCACATCCTTGGCTTTGCTGAACATAACCCATATAGCTGCTCTCATGGGTGAAAATTGAATACCTATGGATTTTCCAAGCTGAGCTTGCACATTGCCAGTGGCTCCACCATTTAGTAGTCCTGATAGGGGTCCTGCTCCTGCAGCTCCACTGGGAATTGTCCTGGATATTAAATTTCCCCTTTAAATATCAGTTCCAGTTTCAGATCATTTTTTTGCTCACACATATGTGCATAGACTATTACAACAGGAAGCCAAATCTTGAATGCTATGCTGCTTAGAAATTTCTTCTATCAGATACCCTTAATCATCACCCTCATGTTCAAAGTTCCACAGATCCCTAAGGAGGGGGCAGAATGCCTCCAAGTTCTTTGCCAATGCATAACAAAAGTGACCTTTTCTCTAGGTCCCAGTAAGTTCCTCATCTCCATCTGAGACCTCATCAGCCTGGGCTCTATTGTCTATATCACTATCAGCATTTTGGTCACAACAATTTAACAAACCTCTAGGAAGTTGCAAGTTTTCCCCCATTTTCTTGTCTTCTAAACTCTCCAAACTCTTCCAACCTCTACCTGTTACCCAGTTCCAAAGACATTTTCACATTTTCAGCTACGTTTATTGCAGTACCCAACTTCTGGTACCGATTTTCTGAATTATTCATTCTCAACTGTTATAAAGAAATACCTGAGACTGGGTAATTTATAAAGACAGAAGGTTTAAATTGGCTCATGGTTCTGCAGGCTATATGAAAGTATGATTCTGGCATCTGCTCAACTTATGAGAGGACCTCAGGAAATTTTCAATCATGCTGGAAGGTTAAGGGGAAGTAGGCATGACTTACAAGCCTGGAGTAGGAGGGAGAGAGAGCAGGGAGGTACCACACACTTTTAAACACCAGACGTTGTGAGAACTATCACAAGAACAGCACCAAAGAGATGGTCCTAAACTATTCATGAAGGATCCATCCTCATGAGCCAATCACCTCCCTGAGGTGCCACCTCCAACCTTAGTGATTACAAGTGAACATGAGATTTGGGTGGAGACACAGATCCAAACAATATCAGGGGTCATGGTGGACATGAGGGTGGGCTGGTCTCCCCACTTCTCACATGATACCAGGGATGTAGACACATTCAGACACCTTGGCAGAAAGAGAAGACAGAGGCCCTTGAAGTCACAAAGGGGAGGCATGAACAAATCTTGCATCTCAGTCCCTCACAAGGCAGTCTTAGAAAAAAAATAGTCATGAACAAATTCAGATCAGTCATAGTAAGTTGTGACACTGAACAGCCCACCACACCCTGAAAAATTCCAAATCAAAGAATCTCCAGAGCCTAGTTGTGTCCCCTATGCCCCAACTCCTCCTTCCCTTCAGGCCCCCTAAGTTGTCATTTTACAAGCCTTGAGAGACACATCAGAGCCCTGGGTACTGTCCCTGTTTCGGGTGGAACAAAAACAAAATCTGGTCAGAGCCCACAGATGATGTGACTAAAGGAGGAATTTTGGGGTGGTGAGCTCCCCCATGGGCTCCTGTCTACACTATCACAAGGATCTCAGGGATCACTCTTCCCACCCCTACCACACTTGCATGAAGCCTGAGCATAGCTGCCTCCTTTTCCATCTGTGGAAAGAAAATAAACTGTGAAAGGCCAGGGAGGAAGCAGGGTCATGAGATCCCAGAGGAGTGTCCAGAACTGTGACTGCAGACCCAGGTCAGAATCAGGAAACCCTAGGTAAGAGGATGTGTTGAAACTGGACTAATTGTCCTAGTGAGGTCTGTCCTCTGCGGGTACCTTCCCCTGACCTGTGACTGCTGGGAGTCAGGTTCCCATGACTCCAATGAAGGTGATAAATTTGTCCTTCATTTTCACAAGTTCTTTACAAAAGAGTAAGTGTTGATAGACAGAGATGGTGCCTCATGACTAGGCAGGATACAAGCCAACTCCCATCTGGGGCTGGGAATCCACCAATGGAAGAAGAAAACTCGGAGCTCACCCCTTTCCTACCTGGGCTCTTATTCTTCACATCACAGCAGTGACCACAGCTCTGGTGAAAACAGCACCAAGAACAACCAGGACAGTAACGATGCCCATGATGGGGATGGTGGGCTGGGAAGACAGCTGTAAGAAAGGAGGGGAACGTGAGGGGCCCTGACCATCAGGCCTCAAACCCTGACCTTGCTGAAGGGCTCCAGAAGGGCTCCTAGTTCCCGTGAGAAGAGACATGACCCCTCATCCCCTTCCTTACCCATCTCAGGGTGAGGGGCTCTGGCAGCCCATCGTGCTGCACATGGCATGTGTATCTCTGCTCCTCTCCAGAAGACACCACCACAGCTGCCCACTTCTGGAAGGTTCTGTACCCTGCAGGTGTGGTCTCCACAACCTCTGCATCCTACATTTGGTCCTGTCCATCCCACTACTGGGTCAGTGTGATCTCCACAGGGTAGAAGCCCAGAGCCCAGCACCTCATGGTGGCCTCATGGTCAGAGATGGGGTGGTGGGTCATGTGAGTCTTTGGGGTTCTGAGGGGAAGAGTCAGAAAATTCAGGCACTTTGCATTCCTCATGGGACATTCCACCTCATGGGACCATCCTGAAAATTGACGGGACACCTGAAGTGGGGAAGGGAGCAACTCAGACACCAGTCTAGACACAGGCACCTGGGGCAATCTTCTATTCCTTAGAAAGTTTTAGTGTCTGAGGCCGGAACAGAGATTTCTGGTCCTGACCTGAGCGGAGGCCGAGGTCAAAAAAGCTGGAATCAGACCCACAAATACACATTGAGTGTGAGGCAGAGAACAAGGCCTGAGAGGAAAATTCCTGGTGCCCAAGGCTGCTGTGGGGACAAAGGGGACCGCGGATCAGTATTTCAGGGATTGTCTTCCCCTCCTTTCCCTCAGAGACTTCGTCCTTTAACTGTCCCAGAGTGCAGGGCAGGCCCTCAGTCACTCTCTAGTATAGGATCTGAAAACCCGGGAGGACTCTTCCTCCTCACAAGAGGGAGAGGGATGTTTTAGCGTTGGTCCCATTTTCCTTCCCTTCTTTTGGAATGTGACTCAAGGAGATCTGCAGGAGATCAGGGAGGCACCCCGTGGCCACTGGTACCTGGGCACTGCAGCCTCTCCTTCCCATTCTTAAGGACTTTGCTGAGCCACTCCGCCCACCTTCCCTGCAGGTAGGTTTTGAGCAGCTCTGCCTGTTCCTCCGCCAGGGCATCTGAGCCGCCTTGTCCGCTGCAGTCCAAGAGCGCAGTTCCTGGTTTCGGACGAGGTAACTGGCGCCGTGATAGGGTATGTTCATACCCACTGAGGAGACTGCAGTCCGAGTCCACGTCGCAGCTGTGTACCCATTGAAGGGTGTGAGACCCATTCCCAGCGACTGCGGTCAGCCCAGGCCGCTGAGCCCCGCCTCAGCCTCGACCAACCCCCGGGGATTTGGGCCTGAACTGAAAATGGAATCCGGTATAGGCGCCTGGGGCTTTTATTGGGTGGAGGATCTCCGCTGGTCCCGCAGCGGAGTAGCACAATCTTAGTAACAGTGGGTAGCGCAGTACAGTGGCTAGCACAATCTTGGTAGCCCTGAATGGTCACGAATCTAATTTGTAAAAGAGGTGATTTTTGGCCCCATTATATATAAATGTGTCTAAACGCATTGCAGTTAGACTCACAAAGTTAAGTTTTACTTTCCCAGACTGTGTATCTGTGACTCTGGTCTGTTGTATTTTTAAATTATCTTTATCTTATAGCCCTGAGTTTGTGTGCGCGAGTCCAGGACTTCTCAATACAAAGCACAATGTGTTACCGTATATTGCAACCAGGAGCCTGTACAGAATTTAATCACCTCAAATTTGCAAGTGCTCAATGCAGCCAAAGTGCCCTTCACCAGTGCTCATGCACCGCCTTTATTTATTATTTATTTATTTAGTTAGTTAGTTATTTTTAGACCGAGTATCACTCTGTTGCCCTAGCTGGAGTGCTGTGGCACGTTCATGACTCACTGAAGCCTCGACCTCCTGGGCTCATGCGATCAATGCTCCTCCTTCAGCCTCCAAGTATCTGGCACCACAGGCTTGTACCACCACTCCTGGCTAATTTTTCTAAAAAAAAATTTGTAGAAATGAGGTCTCCCTATGTTGCTCTCGCTAGTCTTGAACTCCTGAGCTCAAATGATCCTCCTGCCTCAGCCTCCCAAAATGCTGGTATTACAGGCATGAGCCACAATGGCCATCTCATGCACCTGCCTATATTTAGGAATTATTCACATCTAAGCTATGTGCATATTTTATTGGGACACTTGGTATTCTTTTCTAACCTGTTTATCATAAGGAGGCAATTAGTTATTAGACAGCCCCACAGAATGTATTAAAGATCAAGGTGCAAGTAACACTGTGCCAGGCTCTGAGGATAAATGGATTAAAAATCTATAAAACACTGTGTTTAAGTCTGAGAATTCCGTTGCTTTAGAATTCTTTCTCTCTGTTACTTTACCTCACTTCCTGCTTCTCCAGCCCTTCTCTCTGTCCCTGTCACCCATCAGGCCCTCCTCTCCCCTTAGTCTCTACTACTCTGTCACTACTGAACTGTGGCCCTAGCTCTGTCCCTCGCCTGCTGCCCATGACTGTTCTCCCCACAAAGGTCAGCAATCCTGCTAATGTGAGTCAGATTGTGTCATTTCTTCACTTAAAACACTCCAATGGCTCCATCTCACTCTGAAGAAGCCTCTAAAATGGAAGGCACAAGCACAGGGGCTTTGGGTTGTTTTGATCAAAGTTGTGTCTGCAGCATATAAAAGCATATCTGGCACATAGTAGGCACTAAGTTAATTTTCTTGAGTGAATGAAATATGATTGTGTTAAAAATTGTATCACACAAAAATCACAAAATGAAAAATGCAAAGCAAGTTAGGAAACATTTGGTTTTATGCAACTACTATGCATATCAGTTCATAAATTCATTCCATTGGAGGAAATGTCATATGCTTAGCTGTTGAATCTGTTTATGAATTTTCTATTAGTACATAACCAATTACCACAAACTTAGTGGCTTAAAAGAGCACTCATTTATTTTTCTGCATTTCCTTCATCAGAAATCCAGGCCTAGTGTCAGAGATTCTTTGTTCAGGGTTTCGCAAAGCTGTATCCTCATCTTAAGATTGGGATTCTCCCCCAAGCTTATATAGAGCTCGTTGGCAGAATTCGGTTTCTGGTAATTGTAGGACTAAGGTCCCTGTTTCCTTCAGGCTATCAGAGTAGACAGTGGGGAGGGCTTCTACTTCCTATTGGCCACCAGTGTTCTTTCACCATGATCCCACCATTTTCAAAGCCCACAATGGAGGAAGCCCCTCACACTGAATCCCTCTCACACTGTGAGTCTCTATTCTCAGGAAGAACCCAGTCCTTTTCAGAGCTTACCTGATTAGGACAGTCCAAGCAGGATAATCCCCATCTTAAAGCCAACTGACAGGGGACCTGGAATACATCTGCAAAATCCCTTCACAGCAGCACCTACATTAGTGTCAACCGAGTAACTGGGGTAATGTGAGCAACCAAGGGTGGTTATTGGGGTGTCATCATAGAATCACCCTAGCATAGCCTGGATCTTCCTTTTGTGTTTGAATAGAACATACAAATTGAAGGTAAAAAAAATTGATCATTGTTAGTGATAATAAAATATATCTTATATAACCATGAAAATTCTTGTTAAATATTAAAAGCAAATGACATGTTTAATATCTTATAATCAATTTAGAGCAAATGAAAAATTCAATGATTCATCCTCTCTTGTGAAGGTGTATTAGTTATCTACTGATGCATAACAAGTCACTTAAAACTTAGCAACTAAAATCAACAAATATTTATCATGTCCCACAGTTTCTAGTGGTCAGGAATCCAGGAAAGTTTTCTCAAAGTTCTTCTGGCTCAGGGCCACTCACAAAATTGCGGTCTAATTGTCATCCAGGGCTTTATCATCTGAGGGCTCAAATGGGGCTGGGGATTCACAAGTCACAAGAATATCCCACGTGGCTGTTGGAAGAGGCTTCATCTTCTTATTGTCTGGCCCCAGGAGGCCTCACTTCCTAGTCACTTGGAGCTTTCCACAGGCCTGCTTATGACACAGCAGCTGGCTTCCCCCAAGGCTCATGATCCCAGAGAAAGAGAAAACCAGAACCAAAGTAGGAAGCTGCAGTGAGTTTTTTTTTTTGTTTGTTTGTTTTTTGAGACAGAGTCTCACCCTGTCACCCAGGCTGGAATGCAGTGGCTGGATCTTGGCTCACTGCAACCTCCGACTTCCAGGTTCAAGTGATTCTCCTGCCTCAGCCTCCTGAGCAACTGGGATTACAGGCATGCACCACCACACCTGGCTAATTTTTGTATTTTTAGTAGAGACGGGGTTTCACCATCTTGGCCAGGCTGGTCTCGAACTTCTGACTTCATGATCTGCCCTCTTGACCTCCCAAAGTGTTGGGATTACAGGCGTGAGTGACCGCTCCCAGACTTAGTGAGTCTTATGATCTACACCCAGAGTCACAAACTATTATCTCAACATTACTCTATCAGTCTGTAAGTGAGTCATTAAGTTCAGGCCACACTCACAGGAAGGCAATGAAGCTGCACCTCTGCAAGGAGGAGTATCAAAGAATTTATATGCATGTTAAGTATGTACAGTATGCATGTTAAGTAACGTACAGAATGTAATCACCTCAAATCTGCAAGTGCTCAATGCAGCCAAAGTGCCGTTCACCAGGGTTCGTGCACTGCCTCCATTATTTATTTATTTATTTAGTTAGTTAGCTAGTTAGTTATTTTTAGACAAAGTAACACTCTGTTGCCCTGGCTGGAATGCAGTGGCATGCTCATGATTCACTGAAGCCTCAACCTCCTGGGCTCATGCCATCAATGCTCCTCCTTCAGCCTCCCAAGTAGCTGGCACCACAATTAACATTATTGTTTCAGGATTTTGTAAATCAAATACTTCTTGTATCTGACTAATTTTCTTTAATACTTTAAAATTATCTTTTGTAAAGTAATGAATAAAACTTTGAGACAGAGAATGGAGATACAACAATATCTCAGATTTTTTTTGCAAATGCCTTTAATATTAATGTTCTCTTTGATGAGTTGCAAGAAAGTTGAGAAAATACAGTAGCTAGACCAAAGAGTCCCACGACTGGTGCCGTATAATAATGCCTTTACAATCATAACTATCTTTCTTTTTCCTCAGAAGCTACTAATTCCGTTTAAGAATGCCCAAAATGTCAATTTTCTTACTCAAGCTTCTACAAAAATATTTACCTAATCAGGGTGCTTTGCAGTTAGAGAAAATGTGTCTCACATCTTTGTCTGTACAGCTAGCTTAGCATCACGACAAAGATTTGGTTTGATGTGGTAGGCGGAAATGGTTAACTCCAATCTAGGAACACGATTTTTCTATAACTGGGTATTCAGTGTGCATCCATTGATCAATTTAACATCTTTCGCTGTGTTTTTTAATTAGATGTGGTAGAAGTGATTTGGACTCCAGTATGATTCTGAAAAATACAGTTATTTTGTGCTTCTAATGTTGCTGTAAAAGAAGCTCTTTCGTGTTTTCCATTCATATTGCTATTTCATCACTAGTTATTCCTTTATGTGTTTTCATTTAATTTATTTTGCTCGACAGTGCTTTTTTTCTATTCTGTAAAAGTTTAATTCACTTGTATCCGTGGTAAAATTGAGCAACATATCAAATTCTCAAATTCTTTGCGAGATACAATTGCCTTGCACATCAGATTGAACATTGTACACCAGAGAATGTAGAGAGTTGCCAATTAGCCAAGAATCAAATGACCTATTTCTATCAAAGGCTATTTTTTCATGGCATCCTGGTACTCTCTGTCACATGGCTCCTTACAATTGGCTGTGGCTTTGTTTTAACTCATGTAGTTATTGCTAAGGATCCTTGCAATGAACTTTTGTGTTTTCTTTTCTCTTTCATTTCCAAATAATCAGGAATGGCACACAAGGTGCATTTTGAAAATTGCCACTATAAATATTTGTGGGCCAGGAGTGGTGGCTCATGCTTCTAATCCCAGCATTTTGGGAGGCCGAAGTGGGTGGATCACCTGAGATCAGGAGTTGGAGACCAGCCTGGCCAACATGGTGAAGCACAGTCTGTACGAAAAATACAAAAATTAGCCGGGCATCATGGCAGGTGCCTGTAATCCTAGCTACTCAGAGGCTGAGGTAGGAGAATCGCTTGAACATGGGAGGCGGAGGTTGCAGTGAGACGAGATCACACCATTGCACTCCCGCTTGGGCAACAAGAGTGAGACTCCATCTCAAAAATAAATGAATAAATAAATAAATAAAGATTTATGATCAAGTAACTAATTACCTGGACATCCTCTCCTGGCATAAGAAACAGAACCTATGAAGCCACCCTAGACTGTTGCCCAATCCTATCCACCAAAAGGAACCTCTATCTTGAGTCTTGTATTTACTAGTCCTTTGCACTGTCTCTAAAGATTTTTACAATAAATATATATACCCAAATCACAGTCTGACCTGTTTTTTTAACTTCGCTGTACAGAGAACTCACACTATATGTATTCTTCTGTGATGCATGTTATGTGTAGGAGAGTTATCTCTGATGTGGGAGGGTGCTGTTCAATCATTTTTACTGCTAAAATTTTACTTTTCGTAATTATATCAGAATTTTGTTAATTCCCATTGATGCATATGTGATTGTTTCCAGTTTTTTTGCCATAAACATTGGTGTACACGTCTCTGGGACACATAGCCAAAGATATCCCCAGAGTGTATGATCAGGAGCAGATGGTGGGATTATACAGTGTATGGACATTAATCATACAAGATAAGGCTAATTTGATTTCCCAAGTGCTTGTACCAAGAATGGGAAAGAACTTATGTTGCTCATGTGTTCTGAAAACATTCAGTTGAAGGTGGAGATTACATGTTAAAAAACCATTGTCTTGGCTACAGAATCACCCTAGGCATTTTTTCATATTCCATTAATACCTTCCTTTTCTTTACTTTTATCCTGTAAATTATGGCATTATACTTTAAGCATAAGATTCAAATAATGCTTCTTTTTAGCCTAACCACATAGAGTTTGTGAAAAAGTGGAGGGAGGGAGAAAGCTCTGAGGGAGGAAAGGAGGAAAGAAAGATGGAAGGACAGAGAAAGACAAAATGAACATTTTCAAAAAAGAATAGGAGGAAAGGATTAGAAACAGCAAGTGTGGCTAATATTATTAAAATGCAGGAAATTAAAAGATGTAGATAACATCCATGGAATAACAGAAACTTAAGAAAGCCTTAATAGTTATTAACTGCTGTGTCACAAACTACCTCAAAATTTAGTGGCTTAATACAACAAATATCTGTTAATTCAAAGAGATACTACGAACGCGCGCAAAATAGATTTTATGGGGGTGGCAGAAGTTGGATAAAGAGATGGATTTTACAGGTTGGAATAAGTAAGAGTTATTGGTGTGCACATGGCAATGCTTTTTAGTCCAAGTCCTCCAAGGAGCAGATGCCAAGATGAGCTTAAAGTCTACGGCATCTTATGAGGGGACACACCTGTAAGGGAATATGAGACGCGAGCCAGAAATCCCTGGAAAAGGCAGCAGACAATGATACAAGTGTGACCCCAAGTGCTGGACAGAAGGAGACAAAGTCTGTTCGACGCATCCTAGAGCAGAGGCAGTCTAAGGAGAGTTGAGGAAGGGCATGGAGGAGTCCTGGAGCCACATTTGGCCATCAGAGGAGTCCCATGTCTCCCAGTAATGGCCTGCCTTAGTGTGCTTGCTGTGACCGGTCACTGGCTGGGAACAACTCATGGAAGCAGGGCTTCTGCACTAATCCTGCTGAGGATGTCAGAGCACAGAAGCAGAGACGTGGGACATTACCTAGGAGTATCACTCAATCCTTCCTTCCTGAGGGTTCTGGGCTCTTGAATATCAAACCCTCTCAGGCTGGGTTGCTGGATGATTCTGCTCACACAACGGACAAGGGAAACCAGGACGTCCCCAAGTGGATTCCTGGTTTCCACACACACTTCTCCTGCCCTCATTGTGTGATAGCAGCCCTGCCTCCTCCTCTTCTCACCTGCTTGTCTCTGGGCACATACTATTCAAATATCCCTGGGTGCAACCACAATGTGTAGTTCCATGGACTCTCATTTGTCTCCTTGCCAGGGTGCCCTCTTTGGGAAACCAGGACCTCCTACCCTGCAGAGTCCAGATTTTGGAAGTAAGAAGAGCAAAATCACCCTGGGGGTGAATATAATGAATAAAATACATACATACATACATACATGCATAAATAAATTTATTTAAGTATTCATGTTATGTATTTATTTATTTACTTATAAGTAAATCACCCTGGGGGTGAATATAAGGAATGAGACACACCTGCTTTGACTTCTTGGTTTTTGGACCCGCGTATTCTTCCTTCTGAAAACAGTGCCTTAGAGACGTCTTTGATTCAATACATGCATCACATCCTGAAAGATGGCACCCATTCCTCAGAGGGTTTCATCCAAGCTGGTACTGAGTTGTGCCTGTAGAGTCCTGTCCATGACTCTGTGTGCCTGGCAGCACTTGAGAGGCGCAGGTGGTGATACGACCAGGGGATCCCATGGTCAGGGCCCACACTTCATCCCCTTCCCCAACAGGTGTGTCCCCCAGGCAGATAATGTACTGAAATTCTGAGCCAGTGGATCAGGAATGCCAATAGTGTTGTTGACTGAGGGTCTGAGAGCAGAGAGGAAAACCACACCACATCGCATCCCTGTGAGCCTATCCCTGTGAGGATAAACTTCTGCCCCTTCCAGGATGGATGGTGTTCAAGCTATTCAACTTGTCACTTAGGGGCTAGTCAGTTACTTTAAGAAATGGTGCCCTATTGGTGCCTATCATTGGTCTGCAATGCTCACGAGCAGAGTATTCAGAGGAAGCAGTAGCTGGGTGGGCCTTGGTAGTGGAGAGACAGTGCTGCTGGACTCATTTGTAGCTTCATCCCTGCCACTGTGGTTGCTCCACTCACGGGTCCTTCCTATCAGGCCTGGGCTGATCCATGATGTAGACTGGCTAACTTCAATTTGTCTTCAATTTGTTTGGTTATTCAGGGCCACATCAGGACTGGGTGTTTTCTGTGGGTGTTAACATGGAATTGAGGCTCAACCGACATGGACCGTTTTCGTCTCATGATAGATGCCGCTGGGCCTGTCCAGTGAATGACTCTATGGGTCACATAGAAGCCAATACACACGGGCACTTGGAATCACATGGTTGCTTGGTGTCCTATGCTCAAGCATTCTATCTTATCAGGGACAGTAACATGCTAAAAGTTGCTTCTAACATGGAGCATGTTTCTCTGCTGTGGACTCCATGGCCTTACTCCTGATCCCAGGCCCTGCATTCTGACTTTCCCACTGATGCTTGGTTCAGCTCCATCCTGCTTCTTTCCCCAGACCGCCACCTCCAGCACCAGGGGTGTGAGGGATGGTGACTGACTGCACCACAGCCTGGGTCTGCTGCAGTGTCCTTTCCAGTCCAGGCCCCACTCAAAGCTGGCCTCCTCCTATATCACCCAGAGTGTCAGCCAAAGCAATAAACTTAGATGTGGAATGTGGTGTTGCCAGAACCCAGAGAGGCTCATCAAGTAGTGTGCTTCCTTCCTTCTGGTGAGGATGCAAGATGCAAGTTTGTCTTTTACTTTGTGTGTGTGTGTGGCGGGGGGGAGCTCTGCATGCCCCTAACCACTGGACCCATAACACTTCACTGCAGTGGCCACTCTTGAAGCTCTGTAAGTTTTATCTTCACCTTCTGTAGTGCACATGTTTTGCCAGGGAATTCAGCGTACTTTCCTGCTGTTGTTCATCCTTCCCAATTTATGTGATATTGCCAATGAAATGAAGAGATTTAGTATTCTGTGGGATGTCTGATTCGTCCAGGTCTCTTAAGGTGATATTTATAGAAGGTTGAGGAGTTAAGGTAGCCCTGATGCAAGCTATCAATAAATGTATTATAAATCCCATGTGAATGTGAATCATTCCATATCCATCTTCTAAATGAAATGGGAGGGAATGCACTCACCAAATCCACAGCTGCTTGCCATGTGCCTGAGGCCTTATTAATCTCCCCAGGCAGTGATATCCAGCCAGCATGGCAGCTGCAATCAGGACTCCTACTTGGTCAAGTCTGGAGTAATTCCATTCATTCTTTAGCCATATCAGGCTTCTGCAGGTACAGATTGCTGAGTTATATGGAGATAACAGGCAATCCCAACACCACCCCGCATCGTTCAGGTCTGTAATGGCAGTGCCACCCCTATAATACCTGCAGTACCCTCCACAAGACCCACCCTGAGGCACAATATTGCTTCTGGTTTGGCTTGGATGAGGGATGTTTCCCTTTGGGCTTCAGCACAGTGAGATCCCTTACTCTCCAGACTAGGGACACAGTGTGGGGTGACTCCAGTTGCCAGTGCATCAAGGCCAATTATGCACTCAGAGAATGGGGAGATAACCAGGACAGGATTTATGGAACTGGTGATTCCACCATGGGGCATAATGTGTCTAGGTTTATTCCCTGGCTTCTGTAAGCCCCAGTGTGATGGGGGACATAATGGTGCTGTAGGAATCTGGGCAGCAATGTCAGCTCACACCCAATGTTAATACTTATCCCATCTCCTGATTAAATGGCTATAGGCTCCTTTGCAGAAGGGCTGATGGAATTGTCCCAGCATATAACCATCATCGTGTCCCAAGGTTCTTTCTCTTAGGGATATAGATATGTCCTTAGTCACTGGATTCTGAATCTGAAGCTTGCTCCTCAATTCCACATGCTTATCATAGATATCAAGCAGTGCCCTTGCTGTCTGCCCATCTTTTCTGACCCTGGGACACCACCCTTTATTAACCTTCCCCACGACTCCTTGAAGGTCAAGCCCCCTTGGCTGATACTCTGGGTTATCACAGTAAATGTGCCCTCTATCTTTTGTAGGTCACTGAAAAGGAGGGTTCCTAAAGCATTCACTCCTGACCCTGAGGGAGGTGGGTGCACTCACTCCAGGACTCAGGTTCACCACAGATAAGCAAAAAAGTCCTCACATTCAAAATTGTCCTGGGCCACATGCAGCCCACGAGCCGCGGGTTGGACAAGCTTGCATCTAGAACGTATGCACCATAACCCCAGACATTTTTCTGTTTTTACTTTAAGGATGCTTTCTAAATGCAAAAGCAGTCATATCCCTAGCAGACAACAAATGTCAGTTGAATGAATGATCACTGTAGAGCACCTCCCTATTCTAAAGCCCATATCTTTATTAATGTAGCCACAGGGCAAATGCTGTTTTGTGGCAGCTAAAGAACATAAGTTCACGTGGACATCCATGCCGCCAGTGCTTTTCTCACCAGGGCTGCTTGTGTGTCCTCCCTCCTCCCACACCAACCCTCCTGCACACTTCAGCACAAAACCATATATTTCTCTTCAGGAACAATAACCCTAGCCTTATGGGTACAATTTTCCAACCACATATGAATCTAAATTAGACTCTGCTTTATAAATCTATGAGTTTGGATTGGAGCCAGCACTAGGATTACTACAACTCAGAGCAGGAAGAAGAGTAGGAGGGCAGAAGAGGAGTTCCAACAGAAAGTTAACCATGATGAGAAACTATGGGACCCCTCCTCTCTGCAAATGTCACAATCTGGTTCCTTTAAAAAGATTGGAGAAAAATCGAAAATACCGTTAAGGAAAAAGCCCTGGGAGGAAGGCAAGACCTGGACAGGTCTGAAAATTTGTCTCTTGATACCACAAGGAGATTTGTATGCAGGGACCACCCTAGGTGACATCCAACTCCCTGTGATCACAGGTCTTGGTGGGACAAGGTTCTACTGAAGGGCCAAGGACAATGGAGCAGCAAAGATGACCCAGGTGAGCTGTGACCACATAAAGCCCATGGTGGCCGGAACAGAAACTGGGCACAGCCCCATCTACTCTCCTCCCCTGCAACAAATCAGCATAAGCAACACGTGGACTCTGGAAGGTTCTCATGCGTTCCATTAATTTTGTCTCTCAAATTTTAGGAATCTTCTCCTTTAATTAACTCATCAACCTCTCATGGCAAGAATTTGAGAAAGTAAATTTATACTCAGGTTCTAATTTTAATAGGGAAGGAAGAAGTTACAGCTCAGTGCACCATGAAGTTGAGACAGAGATGGAGACACCTCAGCCCCACCTCTCTGGAACAGGAAAGATGATTGGAGAGGGAGCACAGGTCAGCGTGGGAAGAGGGTCATGGTGGACATGGGGGTGGGGTGCTCTCCCCACCTCCTCACATTATGCCTACACGAACACAGACACATGCAGGTGCCTTTGCAGAAACAAAGTCAGGGTTCTTCAAGTCACAAAGGGAAGGGCAGGAACAACTCTTGCCTCTCAGTCCCACACAAGGCAGCTGTCTCACACTATAGAAAAAAATATTCATGAACAAATTCATATCCATCACAGTGAGGGGTCACACCTTAAACAGCCCATCGCATGCTCAATACATCCAACGCAAAGAAACCCCATAGCACAGCTGTGTCCACTGTTCCACCCAACACCCAACACACATCAGGCCCTCCAAGCTCTCACCTTTACAAGCTGTGAGAGACACATCAGAGCCCTGGGCACTGTCACTGCCTGGGGTAGAACAAAAACAGAACCTGGTCAGATCCCACAGAAGATGTGGCTAGAGGAGGAATTGTGGGGTGGGTGAGCTCCCCCATGGGCTCCCAAACACAATATCCCAAGGACCTCAGGCATCAGCCTCCTTCATACTTACTTGCAGCCTGAGTGTAACTCCCTCCTTTTCTATCTGTGGGAAGAAAATGTCCTGTGAGATACCAGAAAGGAGCCAGGGCCTTAAGGTCCTAGAGGAACCTCCTAGTCTTGGACCCCAGAGAAGTTTCCAGAAATGTGTGACTGCAGACCCAGGGCGGGATCAGGAAACATGAAGAAAGCAGGTGTGGGTCCTGGACCAATAGCCCTCCTGAGGTCTGTCCTCAGGGACCTTCCCCTGTGACTTGTGACTGCTGGGATCAGGTCCCATCACCGCCGTAATCAAGGTGATAAATCTGTCCTTCATTTTAACAGGTGCTTTACAAAAGAGTAAGTGCTGGCACACAGGGCCCAGGCTGGGTCGGCCCATGATTGTGGAAGGTGCTTCCCAGTAATGAGACAGGGCACATTTCTAGCTGGGGCTTGGAACCCTCAGTGAGACAAGAAATCTCAGACCCCACCCTTCACCCCTTCTCCACCTGAGCTCTTCCTCCTCCACATCACGGCAGCGACCACAGCTCCAGTGATCACAGCTCCAAGGAGAACCAGGCCAGCAATGATGCCCACGATGGGGATGGTGGGCTGGGAAGACAGCTCTGGGAAAAGAGGGGAAGGTGAGGGGCCCTGACCCTGCTAAAGGTCTCCAGAGAGGCTCCTGCTTTCCCTAAGAGACATGACACCCCCATCTCCCTCCTTACCCCATCTCAGGGTGAGGGGCTTGGGCAGACCCTCATGCTGCACATGGCAGGTGTATCTCTGCTCCTCTCCAGAAGGCACCACCACAGCCGCCCACTTCTGGAAGGTTCCATCCCCTGCAGGCCTGGTCTCCACGAGCTCCGTGTCCTGGGTCTGGTCCTCCCCATCCCGCTGCCAGGTCAGTGTGATCTCCGCAGGGTAGAAGCCCAGGGCCCAGCACCTCAGGGTGGCCTCATGGTCAGAGATGGGGTGGTGGGTCATATGTGTCTTGGGGGGGTCTGACGGGAAGAGTCAGAAAATTCAGGCATTTTGCATCTGTCATGGGACACTCCACCAGCACGCATGTGGCCATCTTGAGAATGGACAGGACACCCGGGATGGGGAAGAGAGCACAGAACCCAGACACCAGCCTGGACACAGGCACCTGGGATAATCTTCTATTCCCTGAGAAGGGAACAGCGACTTCTGGTCCTGACCTGAGTGGAGGCTGAGAGACTCAGAAGTGCTGGACTCAGACCCCCACACACATTGAGTGTGAAGCAGAGAACAAGGCCTGAGAGGAAAAGTCACGGGCCCAAGGCTGCTGCCGGTGTCAAAGGGAACCACTCATCAGTATTCGAGGGATCGTCTTCCCGTCACTCCTTCAGAGATTTTATCCCTTAATTGTGTCAGAGAGCAGGGCGGAACCTCAGAGTCACTCTCTGGTACAGGATCTGGAAACCCAGGAGGATTCCTCTCCCTCAGGACCAGAGGGAGGGTGATATTCTAGTGTTGGTCCCAATTGTCTCCCCTCCTTGTGGGAGGCCAGCCCGGGAGATCTATAGGCGATCAGGGAGGCGCCCCGTGGCCCCTGGTACCCGTGCGCTGCAGCGTCTCCTTCCCGTTCTCCAGGTATCTGCGGAGCCCGTCCACGCACCGGCCCTCCAGGTAGACTCTCCGCTGCTCCGCCGCATGGACCGCCTCCCACTTGCGCTTGGTGATCTGAGCTGCCATGTCCGCCGCGGTCCAAGAGCGCAGGTCCTCGTTCAGGGCGATGTAATCCTTGCCGTCGTAGGCGTCCTGCCGGTACCCGCGGAGGAAGCGCCCGTCCGGCCCCACGTCGCAGCCATACATTATCTGGATGGTGTGAGAACCTGGCCCCGACCCCGCGGTCAGCCCAGTCCCCCGAGCCCCGCCCCGCCCCGACCAACCCGGGGGGATTTTTGGCCTAAACTGAAAATGAAACCGGGTAAAGGCGCCTGGGCCTCTCCCGGGACAAGGGTCTCGGAGTCCCGCGGCTTCGGGGTGGATCTCGGACCCGGAGACTGTGGGCGACCTGGCCCGTCCGTGGGGGATGAGGGGTCGTGACCTGCGCCCCGGGCCGGGGTCACTCACCGTCCTCGCTCTGGTTGTAGTAGCCGCGCAGGGTCCCCAGGTTCGCTCGGTCAGTCTGTGAGTGGGCCTTCATATTCCGTGTCTCCTGGTCCCAATACTCCGGCCCCTCCTGCTCTATCCACGGCGCCCGCGGCTCCATCTTCTGGCTCGCGGCGTCGCTGTCGAACCGCACGAACTGCGTGTCGTCCACGTAGCCCACGGCGATGAAGCGGGGCTCCCCGCGGCCGGGCCGGGACACGGATGTGAAGAAATACCTCATGGAGTGGGAGCCTGGGGGCGAGCAGTGGCTGAGACCTGCCCGACCCTCCTCCCGGCGCGGCTCCCCCGGTCCTGCGCCCCCGCCAGGAGGGCCCCTTGCTTCTCCCCGCAGAGGCGGTTTCCCTCCCGACCCCGCACTCACCCGCCCAGGTCTGGGTCAGGGCCAGGGCCCCCGAGAGTAGCAGGAGGAGGGTTCGGGGCGCCATGACGGCCATCCTCGGCGTCTGGGGAGAATCTGAGTCCCGGTGGGTGCGTGCGGACTTTAGAACAGCGACCGCGACGACACTGATTGGCTTCTCTGGAAACCCGACACCCAATGGGAGTGAGAACTGGGTCCGCGTCGTGAGTATCCAGGATGAAGGACCCTACGTAGGTTGGGAGAGGGAGAAAAGAAACTGCGGAGTTGGGGAATCCCCAAGGCTGGGACTCCCCAATCCATACACCGCCTTCGGGGCCTGAGACCCTGAGAGCCACGCCTGGGGCCCTGGGACTTCGCCCTGACCCCTCTGCTCCTGTGCGAAGCGCTCTGTCTCAATGTCTCCCTGAGTCTTGGCCCAGGAGCTGTCTGAGAAACAAGGGAGAAACCCTCGGCATGGGCCCCGTCCCTCTCCTTTCACTTTTCATCCCATTATCTCTGTCCCTGAACTGGACTCCCTGACTCCCACTCCTTACCTGTCCACCTGGACTCTTCTAGAAGAAAAATCACCCCATGGAGTTTGGTGCCAGAGAGTAAGCTTGCTCTGGGAATAGAGGTGTAGATTTTTGTTGTTGTTTTTGTTTTTAATCCGGAAAAGTTGTGCCTGAGTGCATGAGACAGAATAGAGACCAATTTGCTCTTTGTTTATTAACTACAGTGGGTAGCAGAATCTTGGTAACCCCTGAATGATCAGGAATCTAATAGGTAAAAAATGTGACTTTGGCCCCTTAATGTATAAATGTGTCCAAAAGCATTACAACAGGACTCACAAAGCTACTAAGTTGCACTTTCCCAGACAATGTATCTGTGACTCCTGCTTGTCTTACTTTAAATTTGCCATCATTCCTTAGCTCTGAGTTTCTGTGTGAGTCCACGACATCTCCTCAATACAAAGTAGCCACTGTGTTCCTATATGTTGCAACCAGAAGCCATTACAGGCTTTATTCACCTCAAAGTTGCAACTGTTCAAGGCAGTCACAATGCCCCTCACTAGTGCTCATGCACTGCCTGTTTTTAGGAAGTATCCACTTCTAAGTGTTGTGTATATTTTATAGGAACACTTAGTAATTTTTAAACCTGATTAACATAAAAAATAGTTTTTAGGCAGACCCACATGAGGTATTAAAGGCCAACTGCCAAGAACACCCTGCTAGGCTCTGTAGATGGATGTATTAAAATCCATAAAACAATGTCTTTAAACCTAAGAATTCTGCTGCTTTCAAATTCTTTCCTCTGCTCCTTTTCCTCACCTCCTGCTTCTCCAGCCCTTCCCTCTATCCTTCTCATCCTTCAGGCCCTCCTCTCCCCTTAGTTCCCACCACACTCTCACTCATGAATTGTGACACTAGCACTGTCCCATGACCTGCTACGTAACTGTTCTTTTCACAGTGGCCCTGCTCCTGTGAGTCGGAGTGTGTCATTTCTCCACTTAAAACACTCCAGTGTCTCCACCTCGGTCTTGTGAAGCTTCTGGAGTGTCAGGCACTTGAGCATATGAGGGGATACCTCGTTCATTGTAGGGACTAAGTTAATTTTTGTTGACTTAATGAATGAAATATGAGTGTATTAAATTGCATCACAGATAATTATAAACTGTAAAACACTGAAAAAGTTCAGAAAGATTTTATTTTATGCAACTAGTGTGTATATCAATTCATCAATTCATTCGCTCACTACCACGCCTGGCAAAACAACACACATTTATCTGCTTATAGTTCCTTGGTCAGAAATCTGGGCAAGATGTGGATAGAATCTCCATTCTGGGCTTCCAAAAGCTGTGTTTTCATTTTGAATCCTCCTTCGGGTTTATACAGAGGTGGCAGAATGCAGTTTCTTGCAGTTGTAAGACTGAGGTCCCTGTTCCTGGCTAGCTGTCAATGTAGAGAACTGGGAGGGGCTCAATTCCCGGTGCTCACCAGCGTTCTTTCCTACACAGCCCCTTAATTTTTCTTTTTTCTTTTTTTTTTTTTTTTGAGACGGAGTCTGGCTCTGTAGCCCAGGCTGGGGTACAGTGGCCCAATGATCTCTGCTCACTACAAGCTCCGCCTCCTGGGTTCACACCATTCTCCTGTCTCAGTCCCAAGTAGCTGGGACTACAGGCGCCCACCACTATGCTCTAATTTTTTTTTTTCTTAGTAGAGACAGGGTTTCACCTTGTTAGCCAAGATTGTCTCGACCTCCTGACCTCATGATCCGCCCGCCTCGGCCTCCCAAAGTGTCGGGATTACAGGCGTGAGCCACCGCGCCCGGCCCATAGCCCCTTCCTTTTCAAAGCCCATGGTGGAGGAAACCCCTCATGCTGAGTCCCTTTCACACTGTAAGTCTCTATGCTCATGAAGAACCCAGTCCTTTCAAGGGCTCACCTGATTAGGACAGTCCAAGCAGGATAAACGCAGCATAAAGTCAACTAATTGAGACCCTTAATTATATCTGCTAAATCCCTTCACAGCAGCACCTACATTAGAGTTGGTTGAATAACTGGAGGAAGGTGAATGACCAGGAGCTGCTTGTTGAGGCCATCATAGAATCAGCCTAGCAAGGGTTGGATCTTCCTTTTGTGTTTAATTGGGACACAGTTGGAAAGTGAAGTTCAAGTAACGTGATCATTGTGAATGGTCATAAAATACATCCTCTTCAGCCATGGAAATTGTCCTTACTTTTTAAAACTAAGTTACATGTTTAATATCTTATAATTAATTTAGGCCAGGTGTGGTGGCTCACGTCTGTCATCCTAGCACTGTGGAAGGCAGAGGAATGGAGATTTGTTGACTCCAGAAGTTCAAGATCAGCCTGGGCAAAACCTCCATCTATACAAAAAATTAGAAAATTAGCCAGGCATGGTAGTTCATGATGGTAGTCGCAGCTACTCAGGAGGCTGAGGTCAGAGAGTCCCTTGACCCCAGGAGTTCGACACTGCAGTGCATGGTGATCATGCCACTGCATTCCAGCCTGGGTGACAGAGCAAGACCCTGTCTCAAAAATAATAATGATGATGATGACACATTTAGAGCAAATGCAATTTAATGTGTAATAATACATCCTCTCTTGTGAAAATATATTATTTACTGTTGCATAACAAATTACGTAAAACTTAGCTCGAAACAACAAATGTTTCTCATCTCCCACAGTTTCCAATCGTCAGGAATCCAGGAGAGGTTTCCCTGAGTGCTTCCTGCTCAGGGCCTCTCACAAGGTTGCACTCCAGTTGTCAGCCAGGGGCCGCAGCATCTGAGGGCTTCGCTGGGGCTGGGAATTCACAAGAAACATGGATCAGTCACATGGCTGTTGGAAAAGGCCTGGTTCCTTGTTGTCTGTTCCCAGAAGGCCTCAGTTCTCAGTCATGTGGACCTTCCTGCAGGGCTGCTTATGGCACAGCGGCTGGCTTCCCCCAGAGCTCATGATCCCAGATTCAGAGAGAGAGAAGGTGGAAGCCGCAGTTAGTTTTATGTTCTACACCCAGAGTCACAAACTGTTATGTTGGCACTATTCTATAAGTTAGAAGTTGTATTAGTCCATTCTCACACTGCTATAAAGAAATGCCTGAGACTGGGTAATTTATAAAGGAAAGAGGTTTAATTGACCCACAGTTCTGCATGACTGAGGAGGCTGCCCCAGGAAACTTACAGTCATGGCAGAAGTGGAAGCAAACCCGTCCTTCTTCATGTGGTGACAGGAGAGAGAAATGCACAATGAAGCAGGGAAAAGCCCCTTATAAAACCATCAGATCTCATGAGAATTCCCTCAGCATCAGGAGAACAGCATGGGGGCACCGTCCCCATGATCCAATCAACTCCCATGAGGTCCCTCCCCCAATAGGTAGGGATTACAATTTGCATAACAACTCAAGATGAGATTTGGGTGGGAACACAGAACCAGGCCATTTCAGAAGTGCCTCATTAAGTCCAAGCCACACTCAAGAGAGGGAATTAAGCTGCACCTCTAGAAAGGAACAGTATCAAAGGATTTGAATATATGTTAAAAGCAAAATTATAACTATTGTTTCAGGTTTCTGAAAATCAAAGTCTTCTTGTATCTAATTATTTTTCATTAACTCTTTAAGCTTGTCTTTTAATTTAATTTTTTTTTAAGTTCCAGGGTACATGTGTAGGATGTGCAGGTTTGTTACATAGGTAAATGTGTGCCATGTTGGTTTGCTGCACCTGTCAACTCATCACCTAGGTATTAACCCTGGCATGCATTAGCTATTTTTGCTAATGATCCTCCCATCACCACCCTCCCCCAACAGGCCCCAGTGTGTGTTGTTCCTCTCCCTGTGTCCATGTGTTCTCATTGCTCAGTTCCCAGTTATATATGAGAACATGTGGTGTTTGGTTTTCTGTTCCTGTGTGAGTTTGCTGAGGATAATGGCTTCCACCTTCATCCATATCCCTGCAAAGGACTTGATCTCCTTCCTTTTTATGGCTGCATAATATTCCATGGTGTATATGTACCATATTTTCTTTATCCAGACCATCATTGATGGGCATTTGGGTTGATTCCATGTCTTTGCTATTGTGAATAGTGCTGCCATGAATGTAAACATGCATATGTCTTTATAATAGAATGATTTATATTCCTTTGGGTATATACCCTGCAATGGGATTGCTGGGTCAAATGGTATTTCTGGTTCTAAATCTTTGAGGAATCGCCACACTGTCACTGTCTTCCACAATGGATTAACCATTTACTTTTCCACCAACAGTGTAAAAGCATTCCTATTTCTCTGCAACCTTGCCAGCATCTGTTGTTTCTTGACTATTTAATAATTGCCATTCTGACTGGCATAAAATGGTATCTCATTTGTCGTTTTGATTTGCATTTCTCTAATGATCAGTGATGGGAGCTTTCTTTTTCATATTTTTGTTGGCCACATGTATGTCTTCTTTAGAAGTGTCTGTTCATGTTCTTTGTCCACTTTTTAATGAAGTTTTTTTTCATGTAAATTTGCTTAAGTTCTTTGTGGATTCTGAATACTAGACTTTTGTCAGATGAACAGATGGCAAAATTTTTCTCCCATTCTGTAGCATGTCTGTTCACTCTGATTGATGATAGTTTCTTTTGCTGTGCAGAAAAAAATTGCCTAATCTGATTGCTTTTCATTTACAAAAATGAGAATCTCATACTTCAGTTAACACATCTAGCTTAGCATGATGCCAATAATTTTGGCTTGATGCTGTAGCCCGAAATGGTTAGCTCGAATTGAGAGACAAGTTATTTTCAAAAACTGGCTATCCGATGGGCATTCTATAACACACTTAACATCTTTTGTTGTGGTATTGAATGAGATGTGATAGAAGTGATTTGGACACCACTATGATTCTAAATAGCACTGCTATTATGTGCTTCTGAATTTTTTTTCTTTTTAGCAGTCCTATTCTGTTTCCATTCATATTTGCTATTCCATCACTGGGTATTCCTTCCTACTCTTTTCATGTTTCATTTATTTTGATCAGTGATGTGCATTTCCAATTCTGTAAAAGTTTAATTCAGTTGTATGTGTGGTAAAATGTAACATCGAATCTTTGCAAGATGAAATTACCTTGCACAGCATATTGAACATTGTATTATTGAAAATCTAGAGAGATGCCAGTGAGCCAAGGATCGAATGACCTATATGTAGCCAAGGCCGTTTTCATGGCATCCTGGTCCTCTCTGTCACATAGCTCCTTACAATTCTCTGTGGTTTTCTTCCAATGTAAGTAGTTCTTGTTAAGAATCTTTGCAATGAACTTTGAAATTCTTTTCTTTTTCATTTCTATAAAAAACAGGTATATTTTAATTTGGAAAACTCTGTTTAAGGAATTATAATCAAGTAACTACCAGGGGGCCCAGCACTGGTGTAAAACACAAAACTGTAAAACTACCCTGGGCTGCTACCCAGTCATCCTCCAGAAGGAGACCGTTGGGAGCAAGTCCCCCAAAATCTGGTCATAAACTGGCCCCGAGACTGGCCATAAACAAAATTTCTGCAGCACCATAACATGTTCATAATGGCCCTAGCACCCAAGCTGGAAGGTTGTGGGTTTACAGGAATGAGGGCAAGGAACACCTGGCCCGCCCAGGGTGGAAAACCACTTAAAGGCATTCTTAAGCCACAAACAATAGCATGAGTGATCTGTGTCTTAAGGGCATGTTCCTGCTGCAGTTAACTAGCCCAACCTATTCCTTTAATTCGGCCCATCCCTTCGTTTCCCATAAGGGATATTTTAACTAATTTAATATTTATAGAAACAATGCTAATGACTGTAATAAATATGTGGGTAAATCTCTGTTTGGGGCTCAGCTCTGAAGGCTGTGAGACCCCTGATTTCCCACTTCACACCTCTATATTTCTGTGTGTGTGTCTTTAATTCCTCTAGCGCTGCTGGGTTAGGGTCTCCCTGACCGAGCTGATCTCAGCAGAAGACTCCATGCTGAGTCTTGTGATACTTATTCCTTTGTATTTCTTCAAAGATTTGTGCAATAAGTATATATATAATACATATATATATATGTATGTGTGTATATATATATATCCCCAAAACAAATATCAGTTTGTTTTGCTGGTTTTTAAGCTTCCTGTACAGCAAGTTCCTACTGCCTTTATTTTCCCATGATGCACATTATGTGTAGGAGTTATCTGTGGTGTGGGAGACTGTCATTCATTCATTTTTACTGCTGAAGGCTTACATATGGTTATACCACAATTTCACTAGTTTCCTATTGATGTATATGTGGCTGATTCCAGTTTTTGCCATAAATATTAGTGTGCATGTCTCCTGTGCACATAGGCAAGAAAGCCCCCCAGAGTGGATGATTAGGAATGGGTTGGTTGGATGATACGTTGTATGGACTTTAACCATACTAGATAATGATAATACAAATTCCAAAGTGATTGTGGCTACTTAAACTTTTACAATAAATGTGTAATACTTGATGTTGATGATGTGTTCTGAAAACACTGTGTTGAAGGAATTGAGTTAAAAGCCACTGTCTTGGCTGTAGAATTATAGCAGGCATTTTTATTCAGACTCTGTTAATAACTTCCTGTTGTTTACTTGTTTCTCATATACATGACATTATATTTTTGACATATAGATTCAGAAAATGCTTACTTACAGCCCAATCACATAGAGTTATTTTATATATTAGGAAAATTTCATAATAAAAAGGAAAAAATGGAGGAAGAGAGAGAAAGAAGGAGGAATGGAGGAAAAAGCAAAAGAAGAAAAGAAGGAAGGGGAGGGGAAGGAAAGGGAGAAAGAAGGAGGGAAGGCGATAGTTTGAATGGAAATAGAGAAGAAAGAGATGGAGGGAGGGCTAGAAGGAAGGAGAAAGGGAAGGAAGAGGTCAGGCACAGTGGCTCATGCCTGTAATCCCAGTCTTTGGGAGGCCGAGGCAGGCAGATCACGAGGTCAGGAGATAGAGACCATCCTGGCTAACATGGTGAAACCCTGTCTCTACTAAAAATACAAAAAATTAGCCGGGCATGGTGGCAGGTGCCTGTAGTCCCAGCTACTTGGAAAGCTGAGGCAGGAGAATGGCATGAACCTGGGAGGCAGAGCTTGCAGTGAGCCGAGATCGAGCCACTCCACTCCAGCCTGGGCGACAGAACGAGACTTTGTCTCAAAAAAAAAAAAAAAAAAAAAAGAAAAGAAAAGAAAAAAGAAAAAAAAAGGATGGAACAAAGGAGAAAAGAAACTAAAATAAAGAAAAGAATAGGTGTTGAGAAACTAGAAACCCTATGTGTGGCTAATATTATCAAAATAGGAGAAAATAAAACAGATGTAGTTAACCTCTAGAGAATAATGGAAATGTAAGAGGGCTTCATTAGTTATCCATTGCTGTGTAACAAACTACTCCCAAATTTAGTGACTTGGGATCACTAAATGAGGGATCGTCTTCCCGTCATTCCCTCAGAGATTTTATCCCTTAATTATGTCAGAGAGCAGGGTGGAACCTCAGAGTCACTCTCTGGTACAGGATCTGGAAACCCAGGAGGATTCTTCTCCCTCAGGACCAGAGGGAGGGTGATATTCTAGTGTTGGTCCCATCTGTCTCCTCTCCTTGTGGGAGGCCAGCCTGGGAGATCTACAGGCGATCAGGGAGGCGCCCCGTGGCCCCTGGTACCAGTGCGCTGCAGCGTCTCCTTCCCGTTCTCCAGGTATCTGCGGAGCCACTCCACGCACGTGCCCTCCAGGTAGGCTCTCTGCTGCTCCGCCTCATGGGCCGCCTCCCACTTGCGCTGGGTAATCTGAGCCGCCATGGCCGCCGCGGTCCAAGAGCTCAGGTCCTCGTTTAGGGCGATGTAATCTTTTTACAGAGAATCGTTTTTACAGAGAATGGGGAGATAACCAGGACAGGATTTATGGACCCAGTGATTCCACCATGGGGCATAATTTGTCCAGGTTTATTCCCTGGCCTCTGTAAGCCCCACTGTGATAGGGACATAATGGTGCTGTGGGAATCTGGGCAGCAATGTTAGCTCACACCCAATGTTAACACTTATCCCATCTCCTGATTAAATGGCTATAGGCTCCTTTGCAGAAGGGCTGATGGAATTGTCCCAGCATGTAACAGTCATGGTGTCCCAAGGTTCTTTCTCTTAGGGATATGGATACTTCCTCAGCCACTGGATTCTGAATATGAAGCTTGCTCCTCAATTCTTACATGCTTATCATAGATATCAAGCAGTGCTCTTGCTGTCTGCCCATCTTTTCTGACCCTGGGACACCACCCTTTATTAAGCTTTCCCATAATTCCTTGAAGGTCAAGCCCCCTTGACTGATACTCTGGGTTATCACAGTAAGTGTGCCCTCTATCTTTTTCAGGTCACTGAAAAGGAGGGTTCCTAAAGCATTCACTCCTGACCCTGAGGGAGGTGGGTGCACTCACTCCGGGACTCAGGTGCACCACAGATAAGCAAAAAAGTCCTCACATTCAGAATTGTCCTGGGCCACATGCAGCCCACGAGCCGCGGGTTGGACAAGCTTGCATCTAGAACATATGCACCACAAGGCCCGAAATTTTTCTGTTTTTACTTTAATGATGCTTTCTAAATGCAAAAACAGTTATATACCTAGCAGAAACAAATGTCAGTTGAAGGAATGATCATAGAGAACCACTCTATTCTAGAGGCAATATCTTTATTAATGTAGCCTCAGGACAAATGCTTTATTTTTGTGGCAGCTACAGAACAACATCATCTCACACTGACATCAGTGCCACTGGAGCTTTTCTCACCAGGGCTGCTTGTGTGTCCTCCCTCCCTCCCTCCCTCCCCCCACACCAACTCTCCTGCACACTGCAGCACACAACCATATTTTTCTCTTCAGGAAAGATAACCCTAGGCTTATGGGTCCAATTTTCCAACCACATATGAATCTAAACTAGACTCTGCTTTATAAATTGATGAGTTTCTCTTGGAGCCAGCACTAGGATTACTACAACTCAGGGCAGGAAGAAGAGTAGGAGTGCAGAAGAGGAGTTCCAACAGAAAGTTACCTATGATGAGAAACTATGGGACCCTGCCTCTTGGCAAATTTCAGAATCTGGTTCCTTTAAAAAGATTGCAGAAAAGATGGAAAATACAATGAGGAAAGAGCCCTGGGAAGAGGGCAAGAGCTTGAAAGATCTGAAAATTTGTCTCTTGATACCACAAGGACCCTGGTGTGCAGGGACTGCCATAGGTGACATCCAAGTCCCTGTGATCACAGGTCATGGTGGGACAAGGTTCTACTGAAGGGCCAAGTGTGGGCGGAGGATTACTCAGGTGCCGAGGCAAGAGACTGAAGGCACAAACTGTTTTAGTATAATAAAGAAAATAGTTAGAATAAGAATAGTCATAATACAAATTAGATATAGAGATGATCATGAAAAATTATCAATCATTATTATAAACATTATTAATCATTAGCTTTTAATATTACTCTTTGTTGCATTACTAAGATAACCTAGGAATAACTGGCAGGCATAGGGTCAGGTGCTGAAGGGACATTGTGAGAAGTGACCTAGAAGGCAAGAGATGAGCCTTCTGTCACGCCCGCATAAGGGCTGCTTGAGGGATCCTTGGTCAAGTGGCAATGCCAATGTCTGGGAAGGCACCTGTTACTTAGCAGACCACGAAAGGGAGTCTCCCTTTCTTGGAGGAGTCAGGGAACACTCTGCTCCACCAGCTTCTTGTAGAGGCTGGATATTATCCAGAGCTACCCGCAGTCATCCAGAGGCCTAAACCCCTCCCTGTGGTGCTGTGCTTCAGTGGTCATGCTCCTTGCCCACTTTCATGCTCCTCCTGTACTCCTGGTTCCTCTTTGAATTTCGTAGTAGATAATGGTAGAAGAAATAGTGAAAGTCTTAAAGTCTTTGATCTTAAGTGCAGAAAAGAAAATGGTGACATATGCTACCTAAAAGGGAAGGGCCCCCTATCCTGTAATCACGTGACTTGCTTCACCTTGTCAATCAGTTAGAAGATTCACCTTCCTTACCCTGCCCCTTGTCTTGTATGCAATAAATATCAGCGAGCCCAGCTGTTCGGGGCCACTACCGGTCTCCGCATCTTGATGGTAGTGGTCCCCCCGGCCCAGCTGTTTTCTCTTTATCTCTTTGTCTTGTGCTTTTATTTATTACAATCTCTCATCTCCGCACACGGGGAGAAAACCCGCTAAGTCCCGTAGGGCTGGATCATACAGCCAAGGACAACGGAGCAGCAAAGATGACCCAGCTGAGCAGTGACCACATAAAGCGCACGGTGGCCTGAGCACCCACTGGGCACAGCCCCATCTACTCTCCTCTCATGCAACAAATCAGCATAAGAAACATGTGGACTCTGGAAGGTTCTCATGTCTTCCATTTATTTTGTCTCTCAAATTTTAGGAATCTTCTCCTTTAATTAACCCATCAACCTCTCATGGCAAGAATTTGAAAAAGTAAATTTATACTCAGATTCTAATTTTAATAGGGAAGTAAGAAGTTACAGCTCAGTGCACATAAAGTTGAGATAGAGATGGAGACATCTCAGCCTCACGTCTATGGAGCAGGAATGATTAATTATTGGAGACGGAACACAGGTCAGCATGAGGGAAGAGGGTCATGGTGGACATGGGGGTGGGTTGGTCTCCCCACCTCCTCATATTATGCCTACAGGAACACAGGCACATTCAGGTGCCTTTGCAGAAAGAGAGTCAGGGTTTTTGAAGTCACAAAGGGAAGGCGTGAACAAATCTTGCCTCTCAGTCCCACACAAGGCAGCTGTCTCACACTATAAAATAAAATATTCATGAACAAATTCATATCCGTCACAGTGAGGGATGACACTTTAAACAGCCCATCACATGTTCAATACATCCAATTCAAAGAAACCCCATAGCACAGCTGCATCCACTATTGCCCCCAACACCCCCCACACATCAGGTCCCCCAGCTTCTCACCTTTACAAGCCATGAGAGACACATCAGAACCCTGCGCATGGTCACTGCCTGGGGTAGAACAAAAACAGGACTTGGTCAGAGCCCACAGGAGATGCGGCTAGAGGAGGAATCTGGGGTTGGGTGAGCTCCCCCATGGGCTCCCGACCACAATATCCCAAAGATCTCAGGGATCAGCCCACTTCATACTTACTTGCAGCTTCAGAGTAGCTCACTCTATCTGTGGGAAGAAAATGTCCTATAAGAGGCCAGAAAGGAGTCAGGGCCATACGGCCCTAAACAAACCCCCTATAGCCTTTGATCCTAGAGAAGTTTCCTGAAAGTGTAACTGCTGATCTAGGACAGGATCAGGAAACATGAGGAAAGCAGGTGTGGGTCCTGAACCAACTGCCCTCCTGAGGTCTGTCCTCAGCAGGGACCTTCCCCTGTGACTTGTGACTGCTGGGATCAGGTCCCCATCATCATAATCATCAAGGTGATAAATCTGTCCTTCATTGTCACAGGTGCTTTACAAAAGAGTAAGTGCTGGCACACAGGGCCCAGGCTGGGTAGGCCCATGAGTGTGGATGGTGCTTCCCAGTAACCAGGCAGGACACACTTCTAACTGGGGCTTGAAACCCTCAGTGGGACAAGAAATCTCAGACCCCACTCCTCATCCATTCCTTACCTGAGTTCTTCTTCCTGCACATCACAGCAGAAACCACAGCTCCAGTGACTACAGCTCCAAGGAGAACCAGGCCAGCAACGATACCCACGATGGGGATGGTGGGCTGAGAAGACTGCTCTGGGAAAAAAGGGGAAGGTGAGCGTCCCTGACCCTCAGCCCCCAGCACCGACCCTGCTGAAGTTCTCCAGAGAGGCTCCTGCTTTCCCTAAGAGACATGACCCCCCCTCCACTCATCTCCTACCTAACTCCATCTCAGGGTGAGGGGCTTGGGCAACCCCTCATGCTGCACATGGCACATGTATCTCTGTTCCTCTCCAGAAGGCACCACCACAGCTGCCCACTTCTGGAAGTTTCCATCCCCTGCAGGCCTGGTCTCTACAAGCTCCATGTCCCGAGTCTGGTCCTCTCCATCCTGCTGCCAGGTCAGTGTGATCTCCACAGGGTAGAAGCCCAGGGCCCAGCACCTCAGGGTGGCCTTATAGTCAGAGATGGAATGGTGGATCATATGTGTCTTGGTGGGGGGGTCTAACAGGAAGAGTCAGAAAATTCAGGCACTTTGCATCTCTCATGAGACACTCCAGCAGCACGCATGTGGCCATCCTGAGAATGGACAGGACACCTGGGGTGGGGAAGGGAGCACAGAACCCAGACGCCAACCTGGACACAGGTACCTGGGATAATCTCCTATCCGTGGAAAATTCTAGTCCCTGAGGAGGGAACAGTGTCTTCTGGTCCTGACCTGAGTGGAGGCTGAGGGACTCAGAAGAGCTGGACTCAGACCCCCACACACATTGAGTGTAAAGCAGAGAGCAAGGCCTGAGAGGAAAAGTAACGGGGCCCAAGGCTGCTGCCAGTGTCAAAGGGAACCCCTCATCAGTATTTCAGGGATTGTCTTCCCTTCATTTCCTCAGAGATTTCATCCCTTAATTGTATCAGAGAGCAGGGCAGACCCTCAGAGTCACTCTCTTGTACAGGATCTGGAAACCCAGGAGGATTCCTCTCCCTCAGGACCAGAGAGAGGACGACATTCTAGTGTTGGTCCCATTTTCCTTCTCTCTTTGTGGGAAGCCAGCCCAGGAGATCTACAGGCGATCAGGGAGACGTCTTGTGTTCCCTGGTACCCGTGAGCTGCAGCATCTCCTTCCCGTTCTCCAGGTGTCTGCGAGCCTCTCCACGCACGTGCCCTCCAGGTAGGCCCTGATCTGCTCTGCAAATTCTTCTGCCTCCCACTTGCGCTTGGTGATCTGAGCCTCCATGTCCGCCGCGGTCCAGGAGCGCAGGTCCTAGTTCCGGGCTATGTAATCCTTGCCATCGTTGGGGTGCTGTTCATACCCGCGGAGGAGGCGCCCTTCCAGCCCCAAGTCGCAGCCATACATTATCTGGAGGGTGTTAGACCCTGGCCCCGCCCCCGCTGTCAGCCCCGCCCACCGAGCCCCGCCCCCGCCCCGACCAACCCGCGGGGATTTTGGCCTAAACTGAAAATGAAATCTGGTAAAGGCGCCTGGGCCTCTCCCGGGTCGAGGATCTGGCGGGTCCCGCAGCCTCGGGGTGGATCTCGGAGCCGGAGACTCGCGGGGGGGACCCGGGACGTCCGTGGGGGATGAGGAGGGGTCGTGACCTTCGCCCCAGGCCGGGGTCATTCACCGGCCTAGCTCTGGTGGTAGTAGCGGCGCGGCATGGGCAGGTTCACTCTTGTCAGTCTGTGCGCGGGCCTGATGTTCCGTGTGCTCCGGTCCCAATACTCCGGTCCATCCTGCTCCAACCACTGCGCCTGCGGCTACATCCTCGGAGTCGCCGCGTCGCTGTCGAACCGCACGAACTGCGTGTCGTCCACGTAGCCCACTGCGATGTACCGGGGCTCCCCGCGACCCGGCCGGGACACGGCGGTGCTGAAATACCTTATGGAGTGGGTACCTGGGGGCGAGGAGGGGCTGAGACCCGTCCGACCCTCCTCCTTGAGCGGCTCCCCGGGTCCTGCGCCCCAGTGCGCGGGCCCCTAGCTCCTCCCCGCAGAGGCCATTTCCCTCCGGATCCCGCACTCACCCGCCCAGGTCTCGGTCAGGGCCAGGGCCCCCAAGAGCAGCAGGAGGAGGGTTCGGGACGCCATGACCCCATCCTCGGCGTCTGGGGAGAATCTGAATCCCAATGGGTTCGCGGGGACTTCTGGAACAGGGACCCCAGCGACGCCGATTGGCTTCGCTAGAAACCCGACACCAAATGGGAGTGAGAACTGAGTCCACATCCTGAGTGTCCAGGAAGAAGGACCCTACATAAGTTGGGAGAGGGAGAAGAGAAACTGCGGAGATGGGGAATCCCCAACCCTGGGCCTCCCCAATCAATACAACGCCTTCGGGGCCTGAAACCCTGAAAGCCACGCCTGGGGCCATAGGGCTTCGCCCTGACCCCGCTCCTCCTGTGCCAAGCGCTCAGTCTCAATGTCTCCCTGAGTCTTGGCCCAAGAGCTGTCTGAGAAACCAGGGAGAAACCCTCGTCATGGGCCCCGTCCCTCTTCATTTTTCATCCCGGAATCCCCGTCCCAGAACTGGACTCCCTGCCTCCCACTCCTTACCTATTTCCCTGAACTCTTCTAGAAAAAAACTCACCCCAGGGAGCTTGGTGACAGAGAGGGAGCTCGCCGCCAGAGAGGGAGCTCGCCCTGGGAATGGAGGCGTAGAGACAGGTTTTTGTTTTTTTTTTCTTTAAATCCGGAAAAGTTGTGCCTGAGTACATGAGACAGCATAGAGACAAGTTTTCTCTTTATTAACTACAGTGGGTAGCAGAATCTTGGCAACCCCTAAATGATCAGGAATCTAATCGGTAAAAAATGTAACTTTGGCCCCTTGATCTATAAATGTGTCTGAAAGCATTACAACAGGACTCACAAAGCTACTAAGTTTGACTTTCCCAGACAATGTATCTGTGACTCCCGCTTGTTTTTTACATTTACCTTCATTCCACAGCCCTGAGTTACTGGGTGAGTCCAAGACATCTCCTCAATATAAAGTAGCACACTGCGTTACTATATGTTGCAACCGGGAGCCAGTACAGACTTTATTCACCTCACAGTTGCAAGTGTTCAATGCAGTCACAATGCCCCTCAGCAGTGCTCATGTGCTGCCTGTTTTTAGGAAGTATTCACGTCTAAGTGGTGTGTATATCTTATAGGAATACTTAGTATTTTTAAAACCTGATTAATTAAAAAAAATTAGTTTCTAGGCAGTCCCAAATATAGTATTAAAGGCCAACTGCAAAGAAGGAACACTAAGTATTTTTTAAACCTTATTAACATAAAAAAACATTAGTTTTTAGGCAGTCCTACATTAGGTATTAAAGGCCAACTGCAAAGAACACTGAGCGAGGCTCTGTAGATGGATGTAATAAAAATCTATAAAACAATGTGTTTAAACCTAAGAATTCTACTGCTTTCCAATTCCTTCCCTCTGCTCCTTTTCCTAACCTCCTGCTTCTCCAGCCCTTCCCTCTGTCCCTTTCACCCCTCAGGCCCTCCTCTCCCCTTAGTCCCCACCACCCTGTCACTTCTAAATTGTGGCTCTAGCATTGTCCCATTACCTGCTATGTGACTGTTCTCTCCACAGTGGTCCTGCTCCTGTGAGTCAGAGTGTGTCATTTCCTCACCTAAAACACTCCAGTGGCTCCACCTCGGTCTTGTGAAGCTTCTAGAATGTCAGGCACGTGAGCATATGAGGGCATACCTGGTTCATCTTAGGCACTAAATTAATTTTTGTTGACTGAATGAATGAAATATGAATGTATTAAATTGCATCACAGAAAGTTATAAAATGTAAAACACTGAAAAATTAAGAAATATTTTATCTTATGTAACTAGTGTGCATATCAATTCATCCGAGTCTGTTGAGCCTGTGTATGAATTTTATAAGATTGCATAACAAATTATCACAAACATTGACTTTAAACAACACCCAATTATTGTTGATTTATTTGTTTTTAGAGACAGAGTCTCCCTCTGTCATCCAGGGTGAAGTGCAGTCACATGATCATGGCTCACTGCAGCCTCAAACTCCTGGGCTCAAGGGATCTTCCTGCCTCAGTCTTCAGAGTAGCTAGGACTGCAGGCAAGTGCCACCACTCCCAGCTAATTAAAAAGAAATTGTAGAGATGAGTGTCTCACTGTTTGATCTTGGCTGGTCTCAAACTCCTGGATGCAAGTGATCCTCCTGTGTCAACTCCTCAGATGTTAGGATTGCAGGTGTGCATTACCACGCCTGGCCAAACAACACCCATTTATCTGTTTATAGTACCTTAGTCAGAAATCTGGGCATGATGTGGATGGAATCTCTGTTCCGGGATTCCCAAAGCTGTGTTTTCATTTTGAATCCTCCTTCAGGCTTATACAGAGGTGGCAGAATGCAGTTTCTTGCAGTTGTAAGACTGAGGTCCGCGTTCCTTGCTGGCTGTCAATGTAGAGAACAGGGAGGGCTGCGCTCAATTCCTGATGCCCACCAGCGTTCTTCCCTGTACAGCCCCTTCATTTTCAAAGCCCACAGTGGAGGAAACCCCTCATGCTGAATCCCTCTCACACTGTGAATCTCTATGCTCAGGAAGAACCCAGTCCTTTCAAGGACTCACCTGATTAGGACAGTCCAAGCAGCATAAACCCAGCCTAAAGTCAACTAATTGAGGCCCTTAATTATATCTGCTAAATCCCTTCACAGCAGCACCTATATTAGAGTTGGTTGAATAATGGGGGGAAGGTGAATGACCAGGAGCTTGTTGTTGAGGCCATCATAGAATCAGCCTAGCAAGGGCTGGGTCTTCTTTTTGTGTTCACTTGGGACACAGTTGCAAATTGAAGTTCAAGTAAAGTAATCATTGTGAACGGTAATAAAATACATCCTTTTCAGCCACGGAAATTCTCCTTACCTTTTAAAACTAAGTTACATATTTATATCTTTTAATTAATTTAGGCCAGATTTGGTGGCTCGCACCTGCAATCCTAGCATTGTGGAAGGCAGAGGAAGGCAGATTTGTTGACTCCAGAAGTTCAAGATCAGCCTGGGCAACATGGTGAAACCCCCATCTCTACAAAAAATTAGAAAATTAGCCAGGCATGGTGGTTCATGATTGTACTCCCAGCTACTCAAGAGGCTGAGGTCAGAGGGTCCCTTGAGCCCAGGAGGTCTACACTGCAGTGCATGGTGATCATGCCACTGCACTCCAGCCTGGGTGACAGAGTGAGACCCTGTCTCAAAAATAATAATAATGATGATGATAAATTTAGAGCAAATGCAAATTAACATGTAATAATACATCCTGTCTTGTGAAAATGTATTAGTTATTTACTATTGCATAACAAATTATGTAAAATGTACCATTTCAAAACAACAAATATTGATCATCTCCCACAGTTTCCAATTGTCAGGAATCCAGGAGAAGTTTCCCTGAGTGCTTCTTGCTAAGGGCCTCTCACAAGGTTGCAGTCCAGTTGTCAGTCTAGGCCTGCATCATCTGAGGGCTTCACTGGGGCTGAGGATTCACATGAAACATGGATCAGTCACATGGCTGTTGGAAAAGGCCTAGTTCGTTGTAATTGAGTCCCAGAAGGCCTCAGTTCTTAGCCAGATGGACCTTCCTGCAGGGCTGCTCATGGCACAGCAGCTGACTTTCCCCAGAGCTCATGATCCCAGAGACAGAGAGAGAGAAGGTGGAAGCCACAGGGAGTTTTAGGTTCTACACCCAGAGTCACAAGCTGTTACGTCGGCATTGCTCTATCAGTTAGAAGTTGTATTAGTCTGTTCTCACACTGCTATAAAGAAATACCTGAGACTGGGTAATTTATAAAGGAAAGAGGTTTAACTGACTCCCAGTTCTGCATGGCTGAGGAGGCCGCCCCAGGAAACTTACAATCATGGCAGAAGTGGAAGAAAACCTGTCCTTCTTCACATGGTGGCAGGAGAGAGAAATGCAGAGGGAAGCGGGGAAAAGCCCCTTGTAAAACCATCAGATCTCATGAGAATTCACTCACTATCATTAGAACAGCATGATCCAATCACCTCCCATGAGGTCCCTCCTTCAATACTGGGGATTACAATTCGCATGACAATTGGAGATGAGATTTGGGTGGGAACACAGAACCAGGCCATATCAGAAGTGCATCATTAAGTCCAAGCCACACTCAAGAGAGGGAATTAGGCTGCACCTCTGGAAGGGAGCAGTATTAAAGGATTTGCATATATGTTAAAAGCAAAATTCAAACTATTGTTTCAGGATTTTTAAGTTAAAGGCTTTTAATCTAATTATTTTTCCTTAACATTTTAATCTTGTCCTTTAATTTAATTTAGTTTAATTTTAAGTTCCAGGGTACATATGCAGGATGTGCAGGTTTGTTACACAGGTAAACGGGTTCCACGGCAGTTTGCTGCACCAATCAACCCATAACCTAGGTATTAACCCCTGCATGCATTAGCCATTTTTCCTAATGCTCCCACCACCACCGCCCTCCCCCAACAGGCCGCAGTGTGTGTTGTTCCTCTCCCTGTGTCCATGTGTTCTCATTGTTCAGCTCACAAGTATAAGTGAGAACATGCGGTGTTTGGTTTTCTGTTCCTGTGTTAGTTTGCTGAGGATAATGGCTTCCAGCTTCATCCATATCCCTGCAAAGGATTTGATCTCATTCCTTTTTATGGCTGCATAATATTCCATGGCATATATGTATCATATTTTCTTTATCTAGTCCCTCATTGGTGGGCATTTGGGTTGATTCCATGTCTTTGCTGTTGTGAATTGTGCTGCAATGAACAAACACATGCACATATCTTTATAATAGAATGATTTATATTCCTTTGGGTATATACCCTGCAATGGGATTGCTGGGTCAAATGGTATTTCTGGTTCTAAATCTTTGAGGAATCACCACACTGCCTTCCTCATTGGTTGAACCAATTTACATTTCCACCAACAGTGTAAAAGCATTCCTATTTCTTTACAACCTCGCCAGAATCTGTTGTTTCTTAACTTTTTAATAATTGCCATTCTGACTGGCATGAGATGGTATCTTATTGTGGTTTTGATTTGCATTTCTCTAACGATCAGTGATATTGAGCTTTTTAAAATATGTTTTTTGGCCACCTGTATGTCTTCTTTTGAGAAGTGTCTGTTCATGTGCTTTGTCCACTTCTTAATGAAGTTGTTTTTTTCATGTAAATTTGCTTAAGTTCTTTTTAGATTATGAATATTAGACCTTTGTCAGATCAATAGATTGCATAAATTTTCTCCCATTCTGTAGGTTGTCTCCTTTTCGCTCTGATGATAGTTTCTTTTCCTGTGCAGAAGCTCTTTTGTTTAATTAGATCCCATTTGTCAATTTTTGCTTCTGTGGCAGTTGCTTTTGGCAATTTCATCATAAAATCTTTGCCCATGCCTATGTCCTGAATGGTATTGCCTAGATTTTCTTTCAGGGTTTTTCTAGTTTTGGGTTTTACATTTAAGTCTTTAATCCATCTTGAGTTAATTTTTGTGTAAGGTGTAAAGAAGGGGTCCAGTTTCAATTTTCTGCATATGGCTAGCCAGTTTTCCCAGCACCATTTATTAAATAGCGTTTCCTTTCCCCATTGCTTGTTTTTGTCAGGTTTGTTGAAGATCACATGGTTGTAGATGTGAGGTCTTATTTCTGAGTTTTCTATTCTGTTCTGTTGGTCTATATGCTTGTTTTTCTACCAGTACCATGCTGTTTTGGTTACTTTAGCCTTATAGTATAGTTTTAAGTAGGATAGCCTGATGCCTCCAGCTTTATTCTTTTTGCTTAGCATTCTCCTGGCTACACAACCTCTTTTTTGGATCCATATGAATTTTCAAATTTTTTTTTCTAATTCTGTGATAAGCTTCTCTTTTTAAATTAATGATTAAATGTTTGAGACATGACAGAGCCTTGGGTGCTGCAGGGAAAACAGTTTGAGACAGAGAAAGGAGAAACAACAGTATCTCTGCGTTTCTCTTGTAAATACCTTTAATAACAATGTTCTTCAATAAGTTAACACAGTTGAGAACATAGAGTAACTAGATCAAATAGTTCCAAGACTTCAGTGCCATAAGAATGATGCCTTGAAAATAAGTCTTTGTTTTGTCTAAGATGTCTCAAATTTAGTGGAAGTATGCCCCAAGTGCCAATTTTCTTATTGACATATCATCTTCAGAAAACATTTGCCTACACTTAAAAAAAAAATACACACACACTGCTCTGTCTATGGAGTAGCCATTCTTTTGTTTCTTTACTTCTCTAATAAACTTGCTTTCACTTAGAAAAAATTGCATAATCAGATTGCTTCTCATTTACAAAAATGGGAATCTCATACTTCAGTCAACACATCTAGCTTAGCATAATGCCAGTAACTTTGGTTTGATGCAGTAGCCCAAAATGCTTAACTCGAATTGAGAATCAAATTTTTTCCAAAAACGGCTCAGGGGCATTCTATTGTAAACTTAACATTTTTGGGTGTGGTATTGCATGAGATGTGGTAGAAGTGATTTGGACACTACTACAGTTCTAAATAGCACTGCTATTATGTGCTTCTGAAGCTTTCTTTTTTTTTTTTTTTTTTAGCTGTCTTATTTTGCTTTCCATTCATATTTGCTATTCCATCACTGGTTGTTCCTTTCTACTCTTTTCTTGTTTCATTTATTTTGATCAGTGATGTGTATTTCCAATTCTGTGAAAGTTTAATTCAGTTGTATGTGTGGTAAAATGTAACACCAAATCCTTTGCAAGAAGGAATTACCTTGCACATCAGATTGAACATTGTATACTTGAAAATCCAGAGAGATGCCAGTGAGCTAAGGATCAAATGACCTATTATTAACCAAGACCATTTTCATCACATCCTGGTCCTCTCTGTCACATGGCTGCTTACATTTCTCTGTGGTTTTCTTTCAATGTAAGTAGTTCTTGTTAAGGATCCTTGCAATGAACTTTGGTATTCTTTTCTCTTTCATTTTTATAAATACCAGGTATATTTTAATTTGAAAACTCTGTTTAACAAATTACAATCATGTAACTAAAAAGATGCCCAGCACTGGTGTAAAACACAAACCTGTAAAGCTTCCCTGGGCTGCTGCCCAGTCACATCCCCCAGAGACAGACTCCATCCTGAGTCTTGTGATCCTTATTCCTTTGTATTTCTTTAAAGATTTGCACAATAAGTATATATATATATGTACATATATATATCTGAAAAAAAATTATTTACTTTTGCTGGTTTTTAAGCTTCCTGTACAGAAAATTCCTACTGCATTTATTTTCCCATGATGCACATTACGTACAGGAGTTATCTGTGGTGTGGGAGGCTGTCATTCATTCATTTTCACTGCTGAAGGTTTACATTTTATGCCACAATTTCCTATTGATGTATATTTCCTATTGATGTATATGTGGCTGATTCCAGTTTTTGCCATAAACATCAGTGTGCCTGTCTCCTGGGCACATAGGCAAGAAAGCCCGCTAGAGTGTATGGTTAGGAGTGGGAGGGTTGGACGATATGTTGTATGGACTTTAACCATACTAGATAATGATAATATGATTTCCAAGGTGATTGTGTCAACTTAAACTCATGTGTTCTGAAAACACCTAGTTGAAGGAATTGAGTTAAAAGCCACTGTCTTGGCTGCAGAATTATAGCAGGCATTTTTATTCAGACTCTGTTAATAACTTCCTGTTGTTTACTTGTTTCTCATATACCATGGTATTATACTTTTGACATATAGATTCAGAAAATGCTTACTGATAACACAATCACGTAGGGGTTATTTAATATGTTAGGAAAATTTCATAATAAAAAGGAAAAAATGGAGGAAGGGAGAGAAAGAAGGAGGAATTGAGGAAGGAGTGAAAGAAGAAAAGAAGGAAGGGGAAGGGGAAGAAAAAGGACGGAAAGGAGGAAGGGAGAAGGAGGGCGAGAGATTGAATGGAATTAAAGAGGGAAGGAGGGACAGAAGGAAAGAGAAAAAGAAGGAACAAAGGAGAAAAGAAACTAAAATAAAGAAAAGAATAGGCGTTGGGAACTGGAAACCCTCTGTATGGCTAATATTATCAAAATAGGAGGAAATAAAATAGACGTAGTTAACCTCTATCGAATAACGGAAATGTAAGAAGGCTTCATTAGTTATCTGTTGCTGTGTAAAACACTACCCCCAAATTTAGTGACTTACAGCAACAAACATTGGTGAACTCAAAAACATAATACAAATACCAGCAAAATGGAGCCAATGCAGGTAGAAGAAGTTGAATAAACAAAAAGATTTTACACGTTGGAATAAGTAAGAGGTCACTGGTGTGCAGACGAAAATGATTTTGTAGTCCAAATGCTCCAAAAAGCAAGTGCCATCATAGGATTAAAGTTACAGCATTTTATTAGGGGACACACCTGTCAGACGATATGGTGAGGGAGGTAGGTTACCCTGGGAAAGGCAATAGAATAAGATGCAAGTGTGACCCCCAGTGATGGAAAGAAGGAAGGAAGGATTACTTAACATGTCCTAGACCACAGGCAATCTAAGGAGAGTTGAGCAAGGCTATGGAGGAGTCCTCCAGCCACAGCTGGCCATCAGAGGAGTCCCCTGTCTTCCAGGAATGTCCTGCCTTAGTGTCACTGGTGTGACCCATCACTGGTTGGGAATAGTCCATGGGAAGCAGGGCCTCAGCACCAATGCCACTGAGGATGTCAGAGCACAGGAGCACGGCCTTGGAGGATTACCCAGGAGTGTGACTCAAACCTTCTGCCCTGATGGGTCTGGGCCCTTGGAAATCAAATCCTCTCAGGCTGAATTGCTGGATAATTCTACTCTCACTTGCAATGGGGTGAGGGAAAACAGAAGGCCCCCAGGTGGATCTCTGGTTTCCACACTTCTGCCTTTATTGTGTGAAAGTAGCCATGCCTCCTCCTGGGGATGAGGATCTATTACCTGGGCCTGGAGAGGAGGAGACTCCTCTTCTCACCAGGTGGTCTCTGGGCATATACTGTCCACACTTCTCTGGTGACAAACTTAATGTGTAGTTCAGTGGGCTGTCTTTTGTCTGCTTTTAAGGGTACCCTCCTTTGCAAACCAGGACCTCGTACCCTGCACAGCCCAGTGTTCTGAGATAAAACATGTCAAATACCCCATTAGGTGAATCTAAGAGATTAGACATGGAGCCATACCTGCTTCCACCGTTTGATTTCTGGACCCACATGTTCTTCCTCTTGCGAACACAGAACTGTAGAGACGACTCTGATTTAAACAACGCACCATGTCCTGAAAGATGGCACGCAACCCTCAGAGTGCTTCCTCCAGGCTGGCACTTAGTTGTGCCTGTGGAAGATCACGGGACTCCAAGCAACTATGTGGTTCCAAGTGCCTGTGTGACCCAGAAAGTCATAGATTGCACAGGCCAAACAGCATTCATCATGAGGTGAAAATGATCCACCTGGGTTGAGCTTGAATCCCATGTTGACACCCACAGAAAACAGCCAAGTCTGAAGTGTCATTAAACAACGAAACAGACAAATGGAAGCTAGCCAGCCTTCACTATGGGTCAGCCCATGCATGATAGGATGGGCACATGAATGGAACAACCACAGTGGCAGGTGTGAGGCTACATATGGGGCATTCCTTGTGGCTGGCAGCCCCTGGGGAGAGTAGCTGGTGATAGGGTTAGTGGAAGCAACAGCCATGGAAACACTGAATCTTTCCCTTGCCAAGTGGATCCTTCAGGCAGATAATGGGCTAGGAGCACTGCCTAGCCTGCAGACCAGGAATGTCAACAGCACCTAGAGAGTGGTACTGGCTGTGTCTGAGAGCAGGACAGAAAACCCCCCCTAGAATAGGTACCTAACCCTGTGAAGATGAACCTCTGGTCCTTCCAGGATGGAAGTAGGTAAATGTAGTCAACTTCTTAGTTAATGACTAGTCACCTAAAGAAATAGTGCCCCACTAGGGCATATCATGGGCCTAAAATGCTGATGAGTTGGACATTCAGAGGTGGCAGCAGCTGGATCTGCCTTGGTAGGGGGAAGTCAGTGCTGCTGGCACTCATGCCTGCCACTGTGGTTGCTCCATTCATGCACTCATCCTACCAGGCCTGGGCTGACCCATGGTGAAGGCTGGCTAACTGCCATTTGTCTGTTTGGTTGTTCAGTGCCACATCAGACTTGGGTGTTTTCTGTGGGTGTAAACGTGGGATTCAAGCTCAATCCAGGTGGACCATTTTCACTTCATGATGAATGCTGTTGGGCCTGTGCAATTTATGATGTTGTGGGTCACAAAGGCACTTGGAACCACATAGTTGCCTGGTGTCCTGTGGTCAAGCTTTCTATCAAATCAGTACAAGGAACACTAAAAGTTGCTTCTAACAGGGGGCATATGTCTCTGCTGTGGATGACATGATCTTACTCCAGAATCCCAGGCCCTTCACTGTGACTCTCCCACTGGTGCTTGGTTCTGCTCCATCCTGCATCTTTCCCCACCACTGGCACCACCAGCCCCAGGGGGTCTGAGGGACGCTGGCTGCTTGCACCATGGCCTGGATCTGCTGCAGGGTCCTTTCCTGTGTAGGCCCTACTTGAAGCTGGCCTCCTCCTATGTCACCTAGAGTGTTTGCCAAAGCACGTACCTAGATGTGGAATGTGGTGTTGTCAGAACTCAAAGAGGCTCATCAGGCAGTGTGCTTCCTTCCTTCTGGTGAGGATGCAAGATGAAACAGTTTGTCTTTTACCTTGGGGGGAACACACCTGCATTCCCCTAAACACTTGGCACTTGTTAACCCATAAAACTTCACTTCAGTGGCCACTCTTGAAGCTCTGTAAGGTTTATCTTCACATACTGGAGTGCGTGTGTTTTGCCAATGACTCCAGTGCACTTTCTACCTGCTGCTCATTCACCGCAGTCAACATGAAGTTGTCAGTGAAATGAGCTGATTTAATATCCTATAGAATATCCAGTATGTCTAGTATTGTCTTTAGACCATACTATATAGGGCAGGGGAGTTACAATAGCCCTGAGAAAAAACTATAAATAAATGTGTTGTGGATCCCACATGGATGTGAATCGCTCCATATCCCCTTTCTAATTGGAGTGGAAAGAAATGCACTCACCAAATCCATAGCTGCACGCTGTGTGCCCGAGGCTTTATTATTCTGCTCTGCAGTGATATCCAGACAACATAAAAGCTGCAATTATAATTCCTGCTTGGCCAGGCCTGGAGTAATCTCATTCATTCTTTAGTCCTCATCAGGCTTCCTCAGGGACAGGTTGCTGGATTATGTAGAGACAATAGACAACCCCAACACCATCCCACATCCTTCAGCTCTCTAATGGTGGTGTGACCCCCACATTACTTTCAGTGTCTTCCTCAAGACACACCCTGGGACACACTATGATTTTTTTTTTTTTTTTTTTTTGCCAGGATGTGGGCAGCGTCAGAGGTTTCCCTTTGGCTTTCAGCACAATGAGAGTCCTGACTCCACAGACTAGGGACCCAGTGTGGGGGTGACTCCACTTAACAGTGCATCAGTGTTAATTATGCACTCAGGGAATTGGAAGATAACCAGGGCTGGGTCTATGGATCCAGTAGTTCCATTGTGGGCCGTAATGTGTCCAGGTTTACTCCCTGACCTCCGTAAGCCCCACTGTGATGGGAGACATGATAGTGCTGTGGGCATCTGGGCATCAATGTCAGCTCTCACTCAGTGTCAATAATCTGACCAGTTCTGCATCTTTCCTTTCGCCAGTGTACAATCTCCTGAGTAAATGGCTATAGGTTCCTTTGCTGAAGGACTGAGGGACTTGTGCCAGCATTTACTTCCACGGAGTTGCAGGGTATTCCTCCTAGGGATATGGACTCCTCCTCTGTCACTGGGATCTGAATCTGAACTTTGGCTGAGGTCTAGGCATTGAGGATGGGATCATGACTTTGTATTGGGTCAAACACCTTCACCCTCCTGCTTCTCAATTCTTGCTTTCTTATCATAGATATCAAGCAGCGCCCTTGTTGGCTTCCTGTCCTAATCCTGGGACACCACCCTCTACTATCCTTCCCCACATTCCCTGCAGCTTGAGTCCTATTGGCTACTCCTTTTAGTTTGCCATAGTAACTCTGCCCTCTGGCTTTTTCAGGTCACTGCCACCATTTGGTCTTTGTCTCTTCAGGGCCACACTCTCCCCAGGGATATTAATAAATGCAACTCTGGGTCATCTTTACTACCATCACATCCAGCCTGCAGAGGACAACACCCCGACATTTCTTAATGATGCAGGTCCCTCTCACCATCACGTTTCTGAGGCTCTGGTGGAAGGTGTTTCCTTTGGACCGTCTTGTGGAGCATGGTACTGGTGGGCCTTCACCATGCCCACTTCCCTCAGCCTTGTTATTCCATCCTGTGCAAGTTCCAGGGCAACTAAGTCACGTCTACCTTGTTGAGAGTTAGGCATCATTTTTTCTAGTCTATATGGATTCACCCCAGCGGTGGGTTTGGCCCCCCCCTTATCAAAGTCCTGGGGTGTTTGATAAACCCATGCCTTGAGAAAGTGCCTCCAAGCCAAAGGATTTTTATTCTTCCAGCTTGAAATTCTGGTTCCTTGATCAAACACCCTCAAATTCCAATCCCAGAAGTGCTCCTCGGCCTCCTATGGGGACGTGCCAGCTAGTTCCTGCAAAGCTCTTCAGTGGGATTCCTGCTGTATCATGGGGGTGAGACTTCTGTAGCATCTTCCAGCATAGGAAGTGGGAACCATTACTAGAGAAGGGTGAGCCTCCTATGCATGCCCAGAGGATCCTGGAGGGCACCCATCGGATAACCCTGTTCCTGTTTGCAGAATCTCAGGTTTCCCCACCAGGGTCCTGACTTTCCTGTAACAGGCCTGCCTTGGCTGAGTGGCAAACCTCTCTGGAGCACTGTGGCCCTCATAGTGATGTCTTCAGCTACCATTCCACGGTATCTGCCCTTTCGCTACAAGAGATAAAGACCTGTGCATGAGACACTGCAGAGGCTGTCACATGTAGCCAGTGACAGCTGTTAACAATCTGCAGATTCTCATGATACTTTCACAGGGCATCATTGCAGCTGAGCAGTAACCAGCCAACTCCACTGTCTTTGTAGGTTTCCCCCTAACCCCGTCATTATTGTGCAGGGCATTCTATCACCCCACCTGCCATAGCTTCCCCTAACCAGGGCATCCTCTCAGCTCAGCACTGGTGAGACCCATAGCAGCTCGGCTGCATCTTGTGCTATGGAATTTCTGTGTCTCCCACAACCCTGGTGGCATCCTCTTGGCCTGCCAGGCAGTGGGCAAGCTTTTTTCAAATTCTCATTTTTGCCTGTTTTCATGGATCACCCTTCATACTACTTGTGTTAGTTAGGGTCCCCTGAGGAGCGGACCCCAATACAGTATTCAATGTGCAAGGATTTATTAGAGGAAATAGTTATGAGAGAAATTCAGGACACAGACGGAAAATGCTGGGAATGTCATCAGACCACAAAGCAACTCTGAGCCCCAGTGAGGTAAACAGTGCAGGAAGGTCAGCTGGAAGCATCCTAGACCCTGTGCAGGCTAACAGAAGTTCAGTAAGCGTGGCAGGAAGCCCTAGAGCTTCAGTCAGCCTTCAGAGAAGAAATGTTCCTGCCTTAGTTTCTGCCCTGCTTTCCTCAGTCATTGGCAGGAAAAGACAGGGGGCAGGTGTGGTCTCAGAGCAAATGTGGCAATAGGTTTCAGGATTCAAAAGTTGAGGCCACTATCAATTCTGCTTACTCTAGCTGAGGGGCTGGGATGTGCATTCTCATGACTGCCACAATGATCCAGTGGGGAGAGAGGAAAAAGGTTGATGATAAAGAGAAAAAAAGGTATTAATTGATGAACTGACACCTTTAAGTAGATGATAAGGGATGACATTTTGGGCACCAGAAGAGGGACTGGCTCTGATGGGAGCAGAATGGTTTACCCACAACAGTCCCCAACATGGTAAAACACCTGACATGTGTTGCAGCTGCAAATGCATGAGCAGATGGTGATGGAATCTGTCTTCTAATGTGTTCAGTTTTCTCAGTGAGGTAGGAACCAAGGTTGTCAGCTGAGATAAGAATGGGGAAGGAGGGTTGGATGTGTGAGCACAGAGAGAAGGTGTGTAAGGGTCACCCAGGCCAGGAGGAGGCTGAGGGTAAGCCATGCAGGGAGAGGGTGATTGCTGGCCCTGGTGGGGGCTCCCCATGTGGTTTGGGTCATGAAGTTAGAGAAGACATCAACGATGAGGGACAGTGAGTAGATGGTGGAATCACTGGATTGGTATTCCCAGGGTGGGGGTCGAAGGATTGTTGGAATTGATGTGCTAAAGGGTGGACTTCAAGCCTGGAATGCAGGCACATATGCAATGAGTAGTCACTGATATTACCTCACAGCATATGATAAAATGATAGAGTCTGTGTCCTCAGAGCCTGTGGCCACCTTGCATGGGATGAGTGGAAAGATGGCCAGAGAGTGGGAAGTGTGAAATTGAGAGTATGGAAGGGCTGGGGTTCTTGGGCATGATGAGGCCTAGGGGATGACAGGGGCATGAGATTCAGGCAGAGAGAGGAGAAGGTCATGGAGGAGAGGAGTTCCAGGATCTGAGAGTCCAGGGAGCAAGGGCATCTTCTCTGCTGTATAGGTGTCTATTGCTGCCATAAGAATTACCACAAACCAAGTGGCTTTAAACAGCACCTAATTATCATGTTACAGTCCTGTAGGTTGCAAGTCCACACAGTCTTATGGGGCTAAGATCAAGGTATGGGCAGGTCTGTGTTCCCTCCTGGAGACTCTGGGGAAGAATCCATTTCCAAGCTCATTCAGGTTCTTGTCTGAATTCACTTCCTTGCACATAGAACAGAGGTTTCCACTTCCTTGTTAAGAGCCATGCTTAGCTCCTAGAATCTTCTTTCAGCTACTCACACATGGTGCCTAAGGCACATCCAATCCTCCTGCTTGGAACGTCTGACCTCCCCTCTTCTATGTCTCCTCTGCCTTCCTCCTCTGCAGAATCTGACTCCAGCCAGGGCAGGTTCTCTGCTTTTAGTGGCTCATTTGATTTGAATGGGGCCACACAGATTGTCCAGGAGAATCTCCCTATTTTAAGGTCCTTAATCATCGTTACATGAGTAAAGTCCCTTTTGCCATGTAATGCAACCTGTTCACAGGTTCCAAGGACTAAGACTGGACCTCTTTCGGGACCATTACTCAGCCCACCACATGTTGAAGTCACCAACAGTCAAGGAGACTGCTGGAGAGGGTGACAGTGAACCAAGAGCTACAAGAGTCAGGATTGAGAGGAAAGGCCAGGGGCCCACAGGGAATGGCTACAATGAGGGGAATGGGGGTCTAATCTGATGACAGCCTAGGGGTTTTAGGGAGGAGGGAGGCAGAAAGTTCTGAGAACCACAGTGAGGAGCAAGGTCCCCACCTCACCTCTGAACCCAGGGGTACAAGTCCATGGGGGAAACTCCCCTATGTGGGAGGACTTCAGAGGGGGTCATGTCCTCAGGGAGACCAGGTTGCTGCTGGAGCTGGGAGGTGCAGGAACATCCTGAGAGAGGGTGTGGAGGTTTTGTTGATCATTGACTGAGATTCCAGGGGGTGCACTGGGAAGATTTCTGTGGTTCGGGAGGTTGGGGAGCCAGAATAGTGGTGTGCAGAGCCTTGTGGGGATGTGAGTGCAGAGTATGTGGGGGACCCAGTGTCACTGACACAAACAGGGAAAGGACATGATGAGCTGAGTCCTGGTGGACTCGGCGCAGACAATGGTGCTGAGGCTGTGGGAGATGAGGGAGGAGGAGCAGGGGTGGCTCTCACCTGGGCTCTGTCCATGGAGGTGAGGACAATGAGGTAGTTGGGTCTCAGTGCTGTGTGGAACTTTCTTTTGACCTCCTTATGAGTGGATGGTCTGTCTGAGATAGAACGGGCCTTAGAGGATTTACTCATTACCCTGAGAGAGGGGGCGTGTTCATTCCAGGTTTCAGGTCTGCCCTGACACCTTTCTTGGTGGCTTAGACCTCCCTACTGTAAATTATTGGGTGTTAGTCCATTTTGGAGTTCATAACTTAAAGCAGAAACTCAGATGGTTGAAATGTCATTTTCATGAAGGATTTTTATTAGAGTGTCATTTAGATTGCCTTTGCAACCTCCCATGTGTTTTGTTTTTTTTCTAAAGGGCTGCTAATCTTGTTTTAAATTTGCAATGTAGTTAATTTATCTTCACTGTTAATTAGTTGTGGGTTGTTTAACCTTATACCGTATAGTTTTACATATCTATAACAACAGTAGTTTGGGCCTCTTGTATTCTAATAGTTAAGTCCTTAAGCTGTGTACACACTGCAATTCAAGTATGAGTCATGCATAACCGTAGCACTAAGAGACAAGAGGGAAATCCCTCTCTCCTAAAATTTTGCAAAAGTTCTGGGTTTTTTTTTCCACTGAGTGGGAACTAGTCAGCTAATCATGAACATGAGGTCTTTGGCCTCATTTAAAGGTGCTTCAGAAGCACTGAGCCATAGGAAGGCCTCTTTGTCTAGGTCCGGGACCCTACACCATGGCAGAAGCCATCTTCCCTCCCAGTGTGCAGTGATGTCCCAGATAGCGAATTGGTTAGCCACTTTTCAGTCTCGGGCAGTTTTGTTTTCCAAAACATGGGTTTTTATCTCAGGACCTTCTTGTCCCCAGATGATCAAAACCGGGGCCATCCACTCCCTTCTGAGCCACCTCTGCCTGGGGGGCCTGCGGCTGTGTCCTCCAGTCACAACAGAACACTCCTTCAGAACACTCGCAGGAAGACAACATCTTGTCATTGGCTCACACATGCACGGTGCGTGCACAGAGCTTTGGTTCTAGTTCAGGAGGTGTGTGGGGAGGAGGCTCACTAGTCCAACAGAGCTTGGTACCAGTGTCATATGCCAGGAGCCAAGGTTACAAGGATGCAAAGTTCCCAGACCTACCAGAGAAGGCAAACCCCTGCAGCATGCAGGGCTAGACAGGGGCAAGAAACAAGGTCATTCCGGGCCAGCAGGAAGAGGGAAAGGGAAACTACAGACGTACCTCAGAGACACTGCAGATTTGGTTTCAGACCATGGCAACAAACAAGTCACACAAATTTTTGTTTTTCCAGTGCATAGAAAAGTTATATTCACACTCTACTGTAGCCTATTAAGTGTATGATAGCATTATGTATAAAAGAACTATGTATATACCTTAATTTAAAATTACTCTATTGCTCAAAAATGCTAAGGATCATCTGAGGCTTCAGCTAATCTTAATCTTTTTGCTGGGGCAGGGTCTTGCCTCAATGTTGATGACTGCTGGCTGATCAGGAGGGTGGTTGCTAAAGGCTCTTATGGCAACTTCTTAAAATAAGACAATGAAGTTTGCGGCATGGATTATAAAGGGGGAATCAGTACTTAAGTAAGGTCAATATAAGTTTTCAAGTCAGGTGGACCTGAATATGAACCCTCCAGGCCTTTCCACCAGCTAGCTATAGAGCCTTGGACACATCTTGGCCATAGCTGGCCCTGACAGACACTTGCCCAGTGGGTGAGTGCTCAGTGAACCCCTCTGAGCCAGTTGCCTCACCCAACCAGTGATATAATTCCTTCCTTGCAGAAGAATAAGTGAAAAAAGGCACAGTGCCAAGAGAATCAGACACAAGACCTGCGGAAGGCTGTGCCAGTGCTCTAAAGCAAGTTCTGCCTAAAGCGGCAGAAACATTTTTCACATTAGGAACAGGAGTTGTTTGGGATCCTGTCTGGGGCCAGCTTGAGAGCAGAGCGGGAGTGGGGGCCTGGGTAGGGCCAGGCACTGGAGTGAAGACAGGCCTGGAGAGAGCCTCCTGAAGGCTGCTGAGCGGCTCAGACAGCTCCTTGCCTCACCTGCCACAGTCCTCCCACTCCCCTGGCTCTCTCGGTGCTGTTTTCTTCACCTCCTCCTGCCCTCCTGGTCCCTGGCACCCCAGGGCTCATAAACATGCTGCTCCCAAAACTCCAAGGCAAGTATGGAAGGGCAGAACAGCTTCTGGGACAGTGGGAAGATGAGGCCACCCGCTATGTGGCTCCAAGTGCTCGGGTGGAGGAGATGAAGGGATCAGTACAGTAGTCGGGGGAAATTCTCTCAATCCCACCCTGCATTACCCTCACCTCTGCAGCTTTTTGCCTATTTCCAACTCTCAGCTCCTTCCACCCCCACCCCAGCCCAGCCCTCAGGGCTCCCTCTCTCCAGCCCTCCCTCTGCCCAGAGCAGCACAGTCCAGAGTCCTTGAACAGGAATTCCCCCTCATCTAACAGTTAATCATTTATTAGTGGGGACAGACATCTGGTTGTCTCTTTCCGGTGACCCCATATCCTCATTCAAGGCATCCAGATATAGCCCCTGAGCCAGGGATCTGTATCTGCCCTCCAGAGGCCTATGCCCAAGACAGGTTGCTCCCTGGGATTCTCACTACAGGTGGACTTAAGCTAATGGGCTGGAAAAAGAGAAAACGAGGTCGAATTCCTCACTTACCATGAGATCTTGCAACACAGGTTCCAAGGGCCTCAACCCCTCTACCCTGGCTGATGCTCCCTCCTCCACTCCCTCTGACCAGGGCCCTGAGCCCCCCACACAGCTGAGCTGGCCCAAGCTGAGGAGTTGCTTGCACAGCAGCTGGAGCTGGACCAGGCCCTCCTGGAAGGGAAGGAGTCGGTGGGGGCCCAGGCCCTGGTGCTCAAGATCCAAAAGCTAAAGAAACAGATGAGGAGGCACTGAGAGAGCCTGGGAGGAGAGAGCCTGGGAGGGGACACCCAAGCTTCCCAGCAGTGCCCACAGCACCCTCCATGCCTGGAACTAATGTGCACCACCCCCAGGAGCCCCAGGATCAGAAACACCCCAGCATCTCCCAGGCCAGAGAAAGCAGAAGAGACCCCACAAAGGGCTGGCAATTGGCAGGTAGTGGGGGAGCCAGGGCTCTGCAGTCTTAGTCCCATCCCTCTTTGACCTCACAGCAGGGCACCAAGGCCTTACAGGAATTTACCCTGGGCCATGCCCTAAAATAACCTCACCCCAAATAAAATAAAGGGAGAGAGCACCCACACATAATGCAGATGCACTTGTGTTTCATTTTTAGTTATGTTAAAAATTCTGACAATCAGGAATGGGGGTTCAGGAGTGGTGCTGAGGCAGAGGACAGAAGCCAGGGGGTGGGGGAAGAGGATGTCAGGGGTGGGGTCAGTAGAGTCTCCTTCACCCCCAACCTGCAGTCTCCTCCTGAAGCGTGGTCACATGCCAGAATGGGCTAGTCCCCTACTGTGTCTGTTCAACTAAGGGGAAAATGTGGCCTGGTGAGAATAAGGCATGAAAAGGAAAAAGTGAGGCAGGAGCACACGGCACACATGCAGATGCTGGTGTACTGTGTGGGTTCAGAGGACAGACTTGGGAGTGGGGGAAGAGATGTAATATGATGAAAGAAAACAGATACCCCACATAACGGTCAGAAAAACATCCCAACACGGCATCAAAGACCAGGGTGCATGAAGCAGCCAAGTGTCCATTATGCATCAGGTGCCCATGACAGGATTGAAGACAAACATATTAAGGAACTAGGAAGAACTAAAGGGCTTCATGACATCAGCACTCACTGTGGAGGAGATGTCTGTCTCATCAGGCAGCTCACTATCACTGACCTCAAAGCGATGCTGCCCATACTGAGGATCCTGGCATTATTGTCACCTGACACAAATGTGATGGTCAAGCCCTGTGCCACCTGGAAGGGGATAGAGGGTAGGATAGGACTAGAAGACCCAAAGAGGGAAGACTCTCAGAGGGAAGGATGAGGATGTAAAGTGTGAAAAGATACAGAAAGTAAGGAGGTGGGAGAGTGGGTGTCCCTCTGGGTGTGGGGCTTAACTGCTGCAGGTAGGTCTCAGAATCCTCATGCATGTCATAGGTAAAGGCAATGCTCATCTGCTCCATGTCCATGGCTCAGCCAAATAAGTTGGTAGTCAACAAATTGATCTTATCTTTTGGGGTCATTCTCCAGCAAGTGCAGAACAGTAAAAAAATTTAGTCACCTGAGGTGCATATCTTGGCTTCCTGGCCAGTTTTCCCAAGGCCTCCACTGCCACCCTGCACCCTGGGTGCCCTCCACACTCTCCAAGTGTCCAGATGTGTGTGAGGAGTTAAGGGCAGGAAGAACTATAGGATCGAGGATTTAGGTGCCTTTTTCCACCTCTGCAGGTGGCAAGGTGTGGATTCATAAGCTGGCATTGAAGCGAGTTCTGTCCTTTGTGAATAGTTGTTTGGTCACCCACAGTCATAGCTGAGCCCTGAGAATAAGAGAAACTTGTCTAGAAAAAGAAATTGTGTTGACTCTTAAATAGACATTTCTGGTCTGCGTTTTATTTCAAGTGTCTGGGAAGAGATAGAGTGTGAGGTTCAGGAGAGAAGGAGAGGTCTGTCTTGATGCTTTGACACAGCACCAAGAAATTTCCCCTCCTCCCCCACATCGCCCCGCCAGTTCTCAGTGAGGGACAGATTCACAGCAGTACTGAAAGGGCTGGGAAGAGATGGGGAGACATCTGGGGCCAATGTTCAGGGGTTGACCCTGTGGGAGGACACCTGCCTTCAGAGTTAGAGCCCACATGTGATGATGTAGAGCTGAAGGGTGATATCAGGGAGGTGATGGAGAGTGCTTTGGGGTTTCCTGATTATGAAGAGCAGAGGTCAGTCTGCTTCCTGGGTGAAGTGACTGCTGGGGAGATTGGATTGAATTAATGAAGAATAAATAAACGGGGAATGAGGATAAGCAAGCATCAGCATCTCCCACCATCAGTTCAGACTGAGGGGAGTTTGGATTGAATTAATGAAGAATAAATAAACAGGGAATGAGTATAAGCAAGCATCAGCATCTCCCGCCATCAGTTCAGACTGAGGGGAGTTTGGACTGAATTAACGAAGAATAAATAAACGGGGAATGAGGATAAGCAAGCATCAGCATCTCCCGCCATCAGTTCAGACTGACTGGGGAGGTGGGATAGTTATTGACTCTGTTGCGTGGTTCCTCCTAACTTCCTGGTCTTGGGGCACACAGATGGGTGGTGCTGTTCTTGGTCAAGGCAGCCTCAGCTCCACCCAGGTAAGGCAGTGGTGGCAGAGAGAGTTAGGGGAGCACCTGTGAAACCGACCAAGGCAGAGATGGGAGCCCTCTGTGCAGCAGGAGTGGATGCAGGACCTGCCTGGAAGCAAGAGGATGAGGGAACCTAGTTGGGTCCTGTTCCCTGCCTGCCTGTGTTCGCAGGGTAACCAGTAAGGGAGCTGGGGTAGGGAATTCTTTCATAGGTTATCTAGCCAGAGATATGTTTATAGACATGTTCTTTCATGTTTATATTCAGGTTTGTTGTCACATAGACATTTATCCATGCGTGTTTTATGTTTGTTACTTTAGAATGGCTCAGTCACAAAATCTTAATCTCTTCATTCCTGCTGCCTCTCTACACACACATACACACACATTCACACACATGCTATGCAAACATGTCTACCTGTATCTACAAAGAGAGATGTTATTTTATTTTTAAATTTTTAAATTCGTATATATTCATGGGGCACAGGTGCAGTTTTGCTACATTGCTATATTGAGTTGTGGTAAAGTCAGGGCCTTCAGTGCATCCACCACTGGAGACAGATACATTGACCCCAACAAGAAACTCCTCTACGATACACCCACTGCCAACCACTCTTACCCTTCTGGGTCTCTATTGTCTATCATTCCACACGCTGCTTTCATGCATATAAAGAGATATTAATCAGATATATCAGAGTGATAACTTGAATTTTACTGCACTATTCTTTCAGCTTCTTTGCACATTTGAAAATATATACAATTATAAGTTGGAAGAATGAGGGAAAAAAAAGAGCGAGAGAGAGTGCTGAATCTGAATAGGCTAGGGGTTGGGTCTCACTAGGAACTATAATTGATCTCTGCCATTTTGAAAGTGTGGCCCCCTGAGCTGCCTTCAGAGAGTCCTGGAGGGAAACCTGTTTTCACAGTAATACCAAGATGCCATTTGCCTGTTTCATTATGTTGACTTTTCCATTAATGCTGCAAATGCCAAGGTCGGTAGCACACCCAGCACCTTAGCAGAACCAAGGCAGTGGCTCCAAACTGCAGTCCCATTTAAGAATGCCTTTGATGGAGCAGTAAAATATTTATGTTCATTAAATTTTGATCCTTGAGTACATGTCTTTAATATTCTTTGTGAGAAAATGGGAGATATGCAAAGAGAAGCAGGATAGTAGTCTTGAGAAAGGGCACTTGTGTAGACTCAGTTATGAGTTCAACCAGCAGATCTCCTTCACCCACTGAAAGACAATTGCATTATTTCCAGTTTATGGAAGTAATTATGAATAATTACTTCCAGGAGTATTATGAATAAAGCTGCAAGAGTATTTGTATACAGGTTTTTCATGAACATAAAGTTTTCCCTTGTTTGAAATAAGTGCCTAGGAGGGCAATTTCTAGTCATATGGTAAATTGCATGTTCAGTTTGAAGAAAACTGCAATATCCATTTCCAGAGTGGCTGTACCATTTTAAAATCCATTCCTACCAGCAATATGAATGATCCAGTTTCTCTGTAACCTTGCCAGCATCTGTTGCTACCTTTATTTTGTATTTCAGCCATTCTCATCACTGCAGTTTTAATTTGTATTTTCCTACTGGATAGTGATGTTGAGTGTCTTTTCATCTGCTTGTTAGCCTGGTGTTTATCCTCTTCAGTGAAACGTCTGTTCATGTCTTGCTCATTGCCTATTGTTTATTTGGATTTCATTTTTACTGTTGAGTTTTTACATTTCTTCATATATTGTGAATGCAAGTCTTTATTGAATATGTGATTTGCAAATATCTTCTCTCATTCTGTAGCTTGTCTTTTTATGCTCTTCATAGGTCTCTCACAGAGCAACAGTTTTAATTTTGATAAGATCCAGTTTAGTAACTTTTTCTTTTACAGATCATACTTTTGGTGTTATGTGTAAGAACTCTTTGTCTAGTCTTAGTTCTGATGGCTTTTTGTTAAAAGATTTGTAATTTTAATTTTTTAATGTATTTGTTATTTATTTAAAAAAAAATCTTGCCTAGGCTGGCCTTGAACTCCTGGGCTCAAGGGATCCTCCCACCTCAGTCTCCTGAGTAGGTGAGAGTACAGGCCTGTGACACCACACCTGGCTCAATGTTTGTAATTTTAACTGTGTGTTTTACATTAAAGCCTGTGATTCATTTTGAGTTTTTTTTTTTTGTATAAAGCGTGAGGTTTGGGCTCAGCCTATTTTTTTTCCACTGTGGTTGTCCAGTTGCTCCAGCACCATTTGTTGGGAAAGCTCTCCTTCCTTCATTGAATTGTGTTTGTGCTTTTGTAAATGTCAGTTGAGCATATTTGTGTGTTTTGCTCATTTTCAGTTGAGTTGCTCATCTTCTTACACATTGAGTTTAAGAACTTGCCACATTATTCTGGAAACATGTTCTTCAACACAAATGTAATTTGTGATAAATTGTGAAATATTTTCTCCCTGTCTATGGCTTGTCTTCTCATTCTCTCAATGTCTTTTGGAGCACTCAAGTTTTAAATTTTAACTAAGCCCAATTTCTCTCTCTCTTTTTTTTTTATTTGTAGATCATGCTTTTGGTATTTTATCTAAGAATCCTTTGCCTAACTACCCAAAGTAATAAAAATTTTCTCCTGTGTTTTCTTTTAGAAATTTTATAGTTTTAACTCATAAATTTTAGCTGTTTAGGTTTCTAATTTGTTTGAGCTGATATTTTATATGGTGTTAAATGTAACATTGTGTTACCTATGCAACTTCATTGAAAATCAATTGACAAAGAAAGTAAGAATATCTTTCTAGATTCTCACTTCTGTTCATTGATCTCTATGTCTCTCAGTTTCACACTGTCTGGATTATTGTAGTTTCATATGACATTCCATTTTTTTTTTCAAATTTGTGTTGGCCCTTCTGCATCCTCTGCATTTTAATATACATTTTTAGGATTATTTTGTCAATTTTCTTTTCTTTTTTTCTTTTTTTTTTTTTTTTTGAGACGGAGTCTCACTCTGTCACCCAGGCTGGAGTGCAGTGGCATGATCTCCGCTCACTGCAACCTCCGCCTACCGGGTTCATGCCATTTTTCTGCCTCAGCCTCCCGAGGAGCCCACCACCACGCCCGGCTAGTTTTTTGTATTTTTAGTAGAGATGGGGTTTCACCGTGTTAGCCAGGATGGTCTGGATCTCCTGACCTCATGATCCGCCTGCCTCAGCCTCCCAAAGTGCTGGGATTACCGGCATGAGCCACCGCGCCCGGCCTATTTTGTCAATTTTCTATAAAATCCCTGCTGGGATTTTGATAGGGATTGTGTTGAACCTATAGATCTACTGGGGGAGAATTGCCATCTTAACAGTATTATCGAGCTTTCCAACTCGCATCTCTCCATTTATTTAGACCTTTAATTTCTCTGAGGAATGTTTTTTTATTTTCAGTGAACAAACACTGCTGTCTTCCTAAATTTATTCCTATTTCGCTCTTCTGGTAACTACTGTGATAGGAAAGTTGAGATTTTCATTGCTTCTATAGAGAAATATGTTAATAATTAATTTTTATATTGATTTGATATCCTATGGGCCCTTCTGGATTCATTTATTAGTGCTAGCCAGTTTTTATCTGCTTGTGAATTCTACAGACAGGGTCATGTTATCTGTGAATAGAATTGTATGTTTTCCTTTTTATCTGGATGCCTTTAATTTTTAATTTTCTGCCTTATTGCACTGGCTACAATCTCCAGTATAATATTAAATAAAAGTGGTGGGATTGGACATCCTTGCATTGATCCCCATCTTAGGAGAAAAGCATTCAGTCTTCAGTCTTTCTTCATTAAGTTTGATTTTAGCTGTGGGTTTTTTATAGATGCCCTTTATCAGAGTGAAGAAGGTCTCCTCCATTCCTATTTTGTTGAAACTTATGAACATGAGTGATGTTAACATTTTTGTCAACTGTTTCTTCTGCATCTTTTGAGATAATTATGTCTTTTTTTCCATTAATACAGTGCATTCCATGAATTGATTTTCAAATGTTAATCCAACCATATGTTCCTGGGATGAATCCCATTGGTCATGGAGTGTAATCCGTTTTTATGTGGCTTTGTATTATCTGCCAATGTTTGTTAAGGATGTTTTCATTTATGTTTATTGGTGACACTGGTGTATGGCACTCTTTTCCTGTGAGTCTTGCTGTGACTTTGATATGAGGGTAATGCCAGTTCTGTAAATGGGCTGGAAAGTCTTCCCTCCTCTCTTCTTGTCTGAAAGAGCTTTCAAAATATTTGATAGAATTCACCAGTGAAGATATCTGGGCTTTGGCATTTCTTTTTGAGAAGGTTTTTCAATTTCTGACTTAGTTCACAGTTCTCTTCAGGTTTTCCAGTTAATTTGGGTCAGTTTTGGCAATTTCTATCTCTGCACGAATTGGTCCTTTTTATCTAAGTGGTCTAACTTATTGGCTTCAGGTTTTTCAGAGTATTCACTTATAATGTTTTTTAACTTCCTAAGGGTCATTAGTGATAATCTCTTTTGTTCACAATTTTGGTAATTTATCTTATTTCTCATAATCTCTTTTTTCACTGTTGGTCAAGAAAACAGACAGAGGCAGCAGATGGAGATGTGACAGATTCTCTAGTGGGAAGGCTTTGATCATAATACCTGGCAAGCCAGAATGATGCCAGCAACCCCAAAGGAGCTGCCAATGGATCTTGACAGGAAAATCACTGACTCTGGATTGGGCTATGCTCAACCAGGGGTAGATGTCAATGCTTCAAGGGCTATACAAGGACCAGAAAAGAAGAGGTTGCACCAATTTGGACTGCCGAGTCACACTACTTTACACAAGAAAACACACTTGACAGCCTCAAACGGCCAACAATGCAGAGGGACATGTCCTCCTCAGGGGAAAATTTGATAGAAAATTGAAATGGTCAATTGAAACATTGTTTGTCTAAAAACTGCCAATCTAATTGTTGGGCAATATAAACATGAAGGACTGGCTTTTATATCTTCATGAATGTGCTCGCTGTCAACATGAGTGGGGCTGCAAGAATAACTCCACTAGGTAGCATCCTCTCTTTTACCTGATGGATCAGGACGATGCTGTTACGACGATACATACAATTCTTCTGAAGGGGAGAGGATGCTGGAATAAAGACTACACTTCACCTCAAATTTATTTTTTCATATGTTATGCCATAGTACCAGGAATAGGGATGTAAATAAAAGTGCCAGAAACAGGAATTATCCCTAAGCGAAAAACCATAACTATATTTTTACACCTTTATGTAAGAATTCTCAAGTATTCATTTCATCTGAAAAGTTAGGATTAACAGTAAGTAGAGTTATATAGCCTGGTGGTCTGATAGCCCCCACTAGTTCCTTACCTATATAACCTACCCTCTATGATCAAGACTAGACTGAGGGAAGACATGCTAGAATACTATTGCTGCCTGCAGTCTAGGCCAGCCCAGCAGACAAACCTAATGTCACTCCCAAACCTGGAAACAACTGATATAAAGGGACAGAGGGAGGAATAGTGGCTGAGGGTAAGTGAATAAATCAAAGGGTTATATAATGAGAAAAATTCAATATTAGCTTAACTCCTCAAAGGTGGTGTGAGCAAGAGAAGATATTGTCACTTAGGTCAATTATACGGGATGCCTAAAAGAGTGAAGCTGTATGTCCCTGAGACCATCCTTGTTTTTGGAACCTGGTAAGATTGAGTGTTGTCAGCAAAGCTGAGTGATTTCATTCTGGGAGACATATTCATACAAGAGGATGATAAACTGGCCTAATTTTGAATGAATGGATGAGACTCTGATAATATGCCAATACCTCTTTACTGTTACAATCCTTTTTCCTGTAAAAGATATGTGGTCAAAGAAAAGTGGGCAATCTGAGTTATCACAAAAACATTTAGTCTTTGTCCCTGGTTTCTCCTAAAAACCTTAGACTCTCTTGAGTGATAAGAGTGTCTTTAGAGTACTGATGAGAAGACTCTTGGCTGAGTGGATCCTGGATATCTTAAGAACGGTGGCTAGCTGCCAGAGACACATACCTGTGATGCGAGGGTTATCTTTTTCCATTTTGTGTTGCTATAAAGAAATGTCTGAGACTGACTAATTTATATAAACGAGGTTCATGTGGCTCAAGATTCTGATGTCTGGAAATGTTTGCGCATTTAGTGAGGGCCTCAGGCTGCTTCCACTCATGGCAGAAGACAAAGGGGAGCTGGTATATGCAGAGATCACATGGTAACAGAGGAACACAGAGAGTAGGAAGTTGCCAGGGTCTTTTTAACAACTAGCTCTCTTGGAAAATAATAGAGCAACAATTCATTCATTCCCGAGAGAGGGCAGTATCTCTCGATTCATAAAAGATTGGTCACCATGACCCAAATGGTGGCCATTAGGCCCCAAGTCCCACAGTGGGCGTTAGATTTTAACATGAGGTATCAGGGGATAAATGTTTATATCATTGCATCCCCTCCCTAGCCAGCCAAAGGTCATGTTCTTCTCACATTGCAAAATATAATAATCTACTCCCAATTGTCCCAAATGTGTTAGGTTGTTCCAGCATCAACTCAAAATTCTAGAGTCTCATCTGAGACGCAAGGTAAATTCTTATAGCTTTGAGCCTGTAAAATTTTTTAAAAAATGTTATTTGCATCTAAAATATTAATAAAACAGTGGAAGAGACATTTCTTGTACATTTCCATTCCAAAAGGTATATAAATGGGCCAAAAGAAATGAATGCAGTTTCCTCATAAGATTGAAACTCATCATGGCAGACATTAAAACTTAAAGGTCTAAAAGAATCTCCTTTGACTCTATATTTTGAATCCAGAGCACAGTGGCTGGTGCAACTGCTGGGCTCCTAATGCCATTTGCAGCTCCACATTTATGGCTTTGCTGAACATAACCCATATAGCTGCTGTCATGGGAGAAAATTGAATGCCTATGGCTTTTCCAGGCTGAGGTTGCACATAGCCAGTGGCTCTACCATTTAGTAGTCCTGGCAGGGGTCCTGTTGCTGCAGCTCCGCTAAGAATTTTCCTGGGTATTAAATTTCCCCATTTAAATATCAGTTCCAGTTTCAGGTCATTTCTTTGCTCACACATATGCACATAGGCTATTACAGGCAGCCAGACCAAATCCTGAATTCTATGCTACTGAGAAATTTCTTCCATCAGATACCCTTAATCATCACTCTCAAGTTTAAAGTTCCACAGATCCCTAGGGAGGTGGCACAATGCCTCCAAGAACTATCACAAGAACAGCATGAAAGAGATGATTCTAAACCATTCATGAATCATCCATCCTCATGAGCCAATCACGTCCCACCAAGCACCACCTCCAACATTAGGGATTACAAGTGAGCATGAGATTTGGGTGGGGACACAGATCCAAACAATATCAGGGGTCATGGTGGACATGAGGGTGGGCTGGTCTCTCCACTTCTCACATGTTACCAGGGACATAGACACATTCAGATGCCTTGGCAGAAAGAGAAAACAGAGGCCCTTGAAGTCTCAAAGTGGAGCCATGAACAAATCTTGCATCTCAGTCCCTCACAAGGCAGTCTTGGAAAGAAAATAGTCGTGAACAAATTCAAGTCAGTCATGGTAAGTGGTGACACTGAACAGCCCACCACACATTGAAAAATTCCAAATCAAAGACTCTCTAGAGCCTAGTTGTGTCCCATCTGCCCCAACTCCTCCTTCACTTCAGGCCCTCTAAGGTGTCACTTTTACAAGACTTGAGAGACACATCAGAGCCCTGGGTACTGTTCCTGTTTGGGGTGGAACAAAAACAAAGTCTGGTCAGAGCCCACAGGTGATGTGACTAAAGGAGGAATTGTGGGGTGGTGACCTCCCCCATGGGCTCCTGTCTACACTATTCCAAGGATCTCAGGAATCACTCTCCCACCCCTACCACACTTACTTGAAGCCTGAGCATAGCTGACTCCTTTTCCATATGAGGAAAGAAAACAAACTGTGAGAGGCCAGGGAAGAGGCAGGGCCATGAGATCCTAGAGGAGTTTCCAGAACTGTGACTGCAGACCCAGGTCAGGATCAGAAAACCCGAGGGAAGAGGATGTGTTGAAGCTGAACCAAATGTCCTTTTGACATCTGTCCTCAGCAGGAACATTCTCCTGACTTGTGACTGCTGGGAGTCAGGTTCCCATGATCACAATCAAGGTGATAAATTTGTCCTTCAATTTCACAGGTGCTTTACAAAAGAGTGAGAGTTGACAGGGCATCTGAACAGGGTAAATGTGTGTGGAGATGGTGTCTCACAACTAGGCAGGAAATGAGCCAACTTCCATCTGGAGCTTGAAATCCACGAATGGAAGAAGAAATCTTGGAACTCACCCCTTTCCTACCTGGGGTCTTATTCTTCCACATCACAGCAGTGACCACAGCACCTAGAACAACCAGGACGGTAACGATGCCCATGATGAGGAATGTGGGCTGGGAAGATGGCCCTAAGAAAGGAGGGGAACGTGAGGGGTCCTGACCCCCAGGCCTCAGCCCTGACCCTGCTGAAGGCCTCCAGAAGGGCTCCTGCTTTCCCTGAGAAGAGACATGGCCCCTCATTCATCTCCTTAGCCCATCTCAGTGTGAGGGGCTCTGGCAGTGCCTCCTGCTGCACATGGCATGTGTATCTCTACTTGTCTCTAGAAGACAGCATCACAGCTGCCCACTTCTGGAAGGTTCTATACCCTGCAGGTCTGGTCCCCACAAGCTCTGCGTCCTAAATTTGGTCCTCCCCATCCCACAGTTGGGTCACTGTGATTTCCACATGGTAGAAGCCCGGGACCCAGCACCTCAGGGCGGCCTCATGGTCCGAGATGGGGTAGTGGATCACACATGTATTCTGGGATTCTGAAGGGAAGAGTAAGAAAATTGAGGCACTTTGCATTCCTCATGGGACACTCCAGCAGCACCCATGTGACCATCCTGAGAATGGATAGGACATCTGGGGTGGGGAAGGGAGCACAGAACCCAGACACCTCCTGGCCACAGGCACCTGGGATAATCTCCTATTCCTTGGAAAGTTAGTGTCTGAGGCGTTGAATAATTTAGAGTCTGCAGAGTGCCTGGGATTGCAGGCGCGCACCACCATGCCTGACTGGTTTTCGTATTTTTTTGGTGGAGACGGGGTTTCACTGTGTTGGCCAGGCTGGTCTCCAGCTCCTAACTGGGAGTGATCTGCCAGCCTTGGCCTCCTGAGGTGCCGGGATTGCAGACGGAGTCTCTCTCACTCAGTGCTCAATGTTGCCCAGGCTGGAGTGCAGTGGCGTGATCTCGGCTCGCTACAACCTCTGCCTCCCAGCTGCCTGCCTTGGCCTCCCAAAGTGCCAAGATCGCAGCCTCTGCCCGGCCGCCATCCGGTCTAGGAAGTGAGGAGCGTCTCTGCCCGGCCGCCCATCATCTGAGATGTGGGGAGCGCCTCTGCCCCGCCGCCCTGTCTGGGATGTGAGGAGCCCCTCCGCCCAGCAGCCACCCCGTCTGGGAGGTAAGGAGCGTCTCTCCCCGGCCGCCCCGTCTGAGAGGTGAGGAGCCCCTCCGCCCAGCAGCCACCCCGTCTGGGAAGTGAGGAGTGTCTCTGCCCGGCAGCCACCCCGTCCAGGAGGGAGGTGGGGGGCAGCCCCCGCCCGGCCAGCCACCTCGTCCAGGAGGTGGGGGGCGCCTCTGCCCGGCCACCCCGTCTGGGAAGTGAGGAGCCCCTCTGCCCGGCCGCCACCCCGTCTGGGAGGTGTACCCAACAGCTCATTGAGAAGGGGCCATGATGACGATGGCGGTTTTGTCGAATAGAAAGGGGGGAAATGTGGGGAAAAGACAGAGAAATCAGATTGTTGCTGTGTCTGTGTAGAAAGAAGCAGACATAGGAGACTCCATTTTGTTCTGTACTAAGAAAAATTCTTCTGCCTTGGGATGCTGTTAATCTATAACCTTACCCGCAACCCCGTGCTCTCTGAAACATGTGCTGTGTCCACTCAGGGTTAAATGGATTAAGGGCGGTGCAAGATGTGCTTTGTTAAACAGATGCTTGAAGGCAAAAAAAAAAAAAAAAAAAAAAAGAATGCCCAAAATGACAATTTTCTGACTCAAGCATCTACAAAAATATTTGCCTAATCAGGGTGCTTTGCAATTAGAAAAATGTGAGTCTCACATCTTTGTCTGTACAACTGGCTTAGCATCATGACAATGATTTGGTTTGATGTGGTAGGTGGAAATGGTTAAATTCAATCTAGGAACAAGATTTTTCAGTAACTGGCTATTCAGTGGGCATCCTGTGATCAGTTTAACATCTTTCACTGTGGTTTTTAATTAGATGTGGTAGAAGTGATTTGGACTCCAGTATGATTCTGAAAAACACTGTTATTTTGTGCTTCTAATGTTGCTTTAAAAGCAGCTCTTTCGTGTTTTCCATTCTTATTGCTATTTCATCACTAGTTATTCATTTATGTCTTTTCATTTAATTTATTTTGCTCAACAATGCTTTTTTTCTATTCTGTAAAAGTTTAATTCACTTGTATGTGTGGTAAAATGTGAGCAACATATCAAATTCTCAAATTCTTTGCAAGATACTATTGCCTTACCTACCAGATTGAACACTGTGTATCAGAAAATGTAGAGAGTTGCCAACTAGCCAAGGATCAAATGACCTATTTGTAGCCAAGGCTGTTTTTCATGGCATCCTGGTCCTCTCACATGGCTCCTTAAAATTGGCTGTGGCTTGTTTTTTGTGGTTGTTTGTTTGTTTGTTTTGAGATGGAGTATGGCTCTGTCACCCAGGCTGGAGTGCGATGGCAGGATCTCAGCTCACTGCAACTTCTGCCTTCCAGGTTCAAGCGATTCTCCTGCATCAGCCTTCTGAGTAGCTTGGATTACAGACACGCACCAACACGCCCAGCTAATTTTTGTATTTTTAGTAAAGACGAGGTTTCACCATGTTGGTCAGGCTGGTCTCGAACTCCTGATCTCGTGATCCACAGGCCTCGACTTCCCAAAGTGCTAGGATCACAGAAGTGAGCCACCGTGCCCGGCCAGCTGCGGCTTTGTTTTACTACGAGTAGTTATCGCAAAGGATGCTTGTGATGAACTTTGGCATTTTCTTTTCTCTTTCATTTCCAAACAATCAATCAGGAATGGCACACAAGGTGCATTTTGAAAAATACCACTTTAAAGATTTGTGGGCCAGGAGTGGTGGCTCATGCCTGTAATCTCAGCAATTTGGTAGGCTGAAGTGGGTGGATCACCTGAGGTCAGGAGTTCCAGACCAACCTGGTCAACATGGTGAAGCCCGTCTCTACTAAAAATACAAAAATTAGCTGGGAGTGGTGGCATTTGCCTGCAATCCCAGCTGCTCAGGAGGCTGAGGCAGGAGAATCCCTTGAACCTGGGAGGCGGAGGTTGCAGTGAACTGAGATCATGCCACTGTACTCCAGCCTGGGCAACAAGAGCGAGACTCAAAATATATAAATAAATAAATAAATAAAGTTTTATGATCAAGTAACTAACTACCTGGATATCCCCTCCTGGCATAAGAAACAGAACCTATGAAGCCACCCTAGGCTGTTGTCCAATCCTATCCCCTAAAAGGAACCTATGTCTTGAGTCTTGTATTTGCTATTCCTTGGCATTGTCACTGAAGATTTTTACAATAATACCCAAATCACAGTTTGACCTGTATTTTTTTAACTTCCCCATACAGAGAACTCACACCGCATGTATATTATGTGTTGGGGAGTTATCTCTGATGTGGGAGGGTGCTTATCCTTTTAATTTTTTTTTCTTTTTGAGATGGAGTTTCACTCTTGTTGCTCAGGCTGGAGTGTAGGGGCGGGATCTCAGCTCACTTGATCTCAGCTGCTTGGTTCAGCTCCATCTAGCATCTTTCCCCACGCTGTCACCCCCAGCACCAGGGGACTGAGAGTTGATGACCTGGTACACCACCGCCTGGATCTGCTGCAGTGTCCTTTCCTGTCTAGTCCGCACTCAAAGCTGACCTCTTCCTATATTATACCCAGACAGTGGGCCAAACAATATACTTAGATGTGGAATGTGGTGTTGCCAGGACCCAGAGAAGCTCACCAAATAGTGTGCTTCCTTCCTTCTGTTGAGGATGCAAGATGCAAGTTTGTCTTTTACTTTGGAGGGGACAGCCCTGCATGCCCCTAACCACTGGACCCATAACACTTCACTGCAGTGGCCACTCTTGAAGCTCTGTAAGGTTAATCTTCACCTTCTGTAGTGCACACGTTTTGCCAAAGAATTCAGCGTACTTTCCTCCTCTTACTCATCCATCCCAATCTATGTGATATTGCCAATGAAACGAAGAGATTTAGTATTCTGTGAGATGTCTGATTTGTCCAGATCTCTTAAGGTGATATTTATAGAAGGTTGAGGAGTTAAAGTAGCCCTGAGGCAAGCTATCAATAAATGTATTATAAATCCCATGTGAATGTGAATCATTCCATATCCATTTTCTAAATGGAATGGGAAAGAATGCACTCACCAAATGCATGGCTGTTTGCCATGTGCCTGAGGCCTTATTAATCTCCCCAAGCAGTGATATCCAGCCAGCATGGCAGCTGCAATCAGGACTCCTACTTGGTCAAGTCTGGAGTAATTCCATTCATTCTTTATCAGGCTTCTTCAGGGACAGACTGCTGAATTATATGGAGATAATAGGCAATCCCAACACCACCCCCCATCCTTCAGCTCTCTAATGGCAGTGCCACCCCTACAATACCTGCAGTACCCTCCTGAAGTCCCACCTGGGGCACAATATTGCTTCTGGCTTGGCTGGGATGAGGGAAGTTTTAGATGATTCCCTTTGGGCTTCAGCACAATGATAGCCCTTACTCTCCAGACTAGGGATGTAGTGTGGGGGTGACTCCCTTTGCCAGTGCATCAAGGCCAATTATGCATGTGGAGAATGGGGAGATAACCAGGACTGGGTTTATGAACCCAGTGGTCCCACAGTGGGCCATAATGTGTCCAGGTTTATTTCCTGGCCTCCTTAAGCCCCACTGTAGATTCTGAATCTGAAGCTTGGCTGAAGTCTAGGAATTGAGACTGGGATCATGACTTTGTATTTGATCAAACACCCTCAGTCTCCTGCTCCTCAATTCTTGCATTCCCATCATAGATATGAAGCAGTGCCCTCGCTGGCTGCCCATCTGTTCTGACGCTGGGACACCACCTTTTACTAACCTTTCCCAAAACTCCATGAAGGTTGAGCCCCTTTGGCTGCTACTCTGGGTTCTCACAGTAACCGTGCCCTCTATCTTTTGCAGGTCACTGCAAAGGAGGGTTCCTAAAGCATTCACTCCTGATCCTGAGGGAGGTGGGTGCACTCACTCCAGGTCTCAGGTCCGCCACAGAAAAGCAAAAACTCCTCACATTCAAAACTGTCCTGGGCCACATTCAGCCTGCGAGCTACGGGTTAGACAAGCTAGCATCTAGAACATATGTACCACAACACCAGAAATTTTTCTGTTTTCACCTTAATGATGCTTTCTAAACGCAAAAGCAGTCATATCCCTAGCAGACAACAAATGTCAGTTGAATGAATGATCACTGTAGAGCACTTCTCTATTCTAAAGCCAATATCTTTGTTAAGGTAGCCTCAGGGCAAATGCTGTTTTGTGGCAGCTAAAGAACAACATCATCTCATGTGGACATCGATGCCGCCAGTGCTTTTCTCACCAGGAGTGCTTGTGTGTCCTCCCTCCCTCCCTACCTCTTCCCACACCAACCCTCCTGCACACTGCAGCACACAACCATATTTTTCTCTTCAGGAAAGATAACCCTAGGCTTATGGGTACAATTTTCCAACCACGTATGAATCTAAATTAGACTCTGCTTTGTAAATCCATGAGTTTGGATTGGAGCCAGCACTAGGATTACTACAACTCAGGGCAGGAAGAAGAGTAGGAGAGCAGAAGAGGAGCTCCAACAGAAAGTTCACTATGATGAGAAACTATGGGACCCCTCCTCTCTGCAAATTTCAGAATCTGCTTCCTTTAAAAAGATTGGAGACAAGATGAAAACTACAATCCAGGAAAGAGCCCTGGGAGGAGGGCAAGAGCTGGACAGGTCTGAAAATTAGTCTCTTGATACCACAATGAGATTTGTATGCAGGGACCACCGTAGGTGACATCCAAGTCCCTGTGATCACAGGTGGTGGTGGGACAAGGTTCTACTGAAGGGCCAAGGAGAATGAAGGAGCAAAGATGACCCAGCTGAGCAGTGACCACATAAAGTCCATACTGGCCTGAGCACCCACTAGGCACAGCCCCATCTATTCTCCTCCCCTGCAACAAATCAGCACAAGAAACACATGGACTCTGGAAGGTTCTCATGGGTTCCATTTATTTTGTCTCTCAAATTTTAGGAATCTTCTCCTTTAATTAAGTCATCAACCTCTCATGGCAAGAATTTGAAAAAGTAAATGTTTACTCAGATTCTAATTTTAAGAGGGAAGTAAGAAGTTACAGCTCAGTGCACATAAAGTTGAGAAAAAGATGGAGACATCTCAGCCCCGCCTCTCTGGAACAGGAAAGATGATTGGGGAGGGAACACAGATCAGCGTGGGGAAGAGGGTCATGGTGGACATGAGGGTGGGTTGGTCTCCCCTCCTCCACACATTATGCCTACAGGAACACAGACACATTCAGGTGCCTTTGCAGAAAGTCAGGGTTCTTCAAGTCACAAAGGGAAGGTGTGAACAAATCTTGCCTCTCAGTCCCACACAAGGCAGCTGTCTCACACTATAGAAAAAATATTCATGAACAAATTCATATCTGTCCCAGTAATGGATGACACTTTGGCAGCCCATCGCATGCTCAAAACATCAAATTCAAAGAACCCCATAGCACAGCTGTGTCCACTGTTCCCCCCCAACACCCCCCACACATCAGGCCCCCCAAGGTCTCACCTTTCACGCTGTGAGAGACACATCAGAGCCCTGGGCACTGTTGCCGCCTGGAGTAGAATAAAAACAGGACCTGGTCAGATCCCACAGTAGATGTGGCTAGAGGAAGAATTGTGGGGTGGGTGAGCTCCCCCATGGGCTCCCAAACACAATATCCAAAGGATTTCAGGGATCAGCCTCCTTCATACTTACTTGCAGCCTGAGAGTAGCTCCCTCCTTTTCTATCTGTGGGAAGAAAATGTCCTGTGAGATGCCAGAAAGAAGCCAGGGCCATAAGGTCCTAGAGGAACCTCCAAGTCTTGGACCCCAGAGAAGTTTCCAGAAATGTGCAACTGCAGACCCAGGGCGGGATCAGGAAACATGAGGAAAGCAGATGTGGGTCCTGGACCAACCGCCCTTCTGAGGTCTGTCCTCGGGGACCTTCCCCTGTGACTTGTGACTGCTGGGATCAGGTCCCATCACCACAGTCATCAAGGTGATAAATCTGTCCCTCATTGTAACAGGTGCTTTACAAAAGAGTAAGTGCTGGCACACAGGGCCCAGGCTGGGTAGGCCCATGAGTGTGGATGGTGCTTCCCAGTAACCAGGCAGGGCACTTCTACCTGGGGCTTGGAACTCTCAGTGAGACAAGAAATCTCAGACCACACTCCTCACCCCTTCCTTACCTGAGCTCTTCTTCCTCCACATTACAGCAGCGACCACAGCTCCAGTGACCACAGCTACAAGTAGAACCAGGCCAGCAACGATGCCCACGATGGGGATGGTGGGCTGGGAAGATGGCTCTGGGAAAAGGGGGGAAGGTGAGGGACCCTGACCCTGCTAAAGCTCTCCAGAGAGGCTCTGGCTTTCCCTAAGGGACATGACACCCCCATCTCCCTCCTTACCCCATCTCAGGGTGAGGGGCTCTGGCAGACCCTCATGCTGCACATGGCAGGTGTATCTCTGCTCCTCTCCAGAAGGCACCACCACAGCCGCCCACTTCTGGAAGGTTCCATCCCCTGCAGGCCTGGTCTCCACGAGCTCCGTGTGTGGGTCTGGTCCTCCCCATCCCGCTGCCAGGTCAGTGTGATCTCCGCAGGGTAGAAGCCCAGGGCCCAGCACCTCAGGGTGGCCTCATGGTCAGAGATGGGGTGGTGGGTCATATGTGTCTTGGGGGGGTCTGACGGGAAGAGTCAGAAAATTCAGGCATTTTGCATCTGTCATGGGACACTCCACCAGCACGCATGTGGCCATCTTGAGAATGGACAGGACGCCTGGGGTGGGGAAGGGAGCACAGAACCCAGACAACAGCCTGGACACAGGCACCTGGGATAATCTCCTATTCCGTGGAAAATTCTAGTCCCTGAGGAGGGAACAGCGACTTCTGGTCCTGACCTGAGTGGAGGCTGAGGGACTCAGAAGAGCTGGACTCAGACCCCCAGGCACATTGAGTGTGAAGCAGAGAACAAGGCCTGAGAGGAAAAGTCACGGGGCCCAAGGCTGCTGCCAGCGTCAAAGGGAACCACTCATCAGTATTCCAGGGATTGTCTTCCCTTCATTTCCTCAGAGATTTCATCCCTTAATTGTGTCAGAGAGCACGGCGGACCCTCAGAGTCACTCTCTGGAAACCCAGGAGGATTCTTCTCCCTCAGGACCAGAGGGAGGGCGATATTATAGTGTTGGTCCCATTTGTCTCCCTTTCTTGTGGGAGGCCAGCCCCGGAGATCTACAGGCCATCCGGGAGGCGCCCTGTGGCCCCTGGTACCCGCGCGCTGCAGCGTCTCCTTCCCGTTCTCCAGGTATCTGCGGAGCCACTCCACGAACTCGCCCTCCAGGTAGACTCTCCGCTGCTCCGCCCGACGGGCCGCCTCCCACTTGCGCTTGGTGATCTGAGCTGCCATGTCCGCCGCGGTCCAGGAGCGCAGGTCCTCGTTCAGAGCGATGTAATCCTTGCCGTCGTAGGCGTGCTGTTCATACCCGCAGAGGAAGCGCCCGTCGGGCCCCACGTCGCAGCCATACATCACCTGCATGGTGTGAGAACCTGGCCCCGCCCCCGCGGTCAGCCCGGTCCCCCGAGCCCCGCCCTGCCCGGACCAACCCGCGGGGATTTTGGCCTAAACTGAAAATGAAACCGGGTAAAGGCGCCTGGGCCTCTCCCAGGTCAAGGGTCTCGGGGTCCCGCGGTTTCGGGGAGGATCTCGGACCCAGAGACTCGAGGCGACCCGGCCCTCCGTGGGGGATGGGGAGGGGTCGTGACCTGCGCCCCGGGCCGGGGTCACTCACCGCCCTCGCTCTGGTTGTAGTAGCGGAGCGCGATCCGCAGGTTCTCTCGTTCAGTCCGTGCTTGGGCCTTGCAGATCTGTGTGTTCCGGTCCCAATACTCCGGCCCCTCCCGCTCCATCCACGGCGCCCGCGGCTCCTCTCTCGGACTCGCGTCGTCGCTGTCGAACCGCACGAACTGCGTATCGTCCACGTAGCCGACGGAGATGAAGCGGGGCTCCCCGCGGCCGGGCCGGGACATGGTGGTGTAGAAATACCTCATGGAGTGGGAGCCTGGGAGCGAGGAGGAGCTGAGACCCGCCCGACCCTCCTCCCTGCGCGGCTCCCTGGGTCCTGCGCCCCCGCCGGGCGGGCCCCTCGCTCCTCCCGACCATTTCCCTGCAGACCCTGCACTCACGCGCCCAGGTCTGGGTCAGGGCCAGGGCCCCTGAGAGCAGCAGGAGGAGGGTTCGGGGCGCCATGAGCACCATCCTCGGCGTCTGGGGAGAATCTGAGTCCCGGTGGGTGCGTGGGGACTTTAGAACCGGGACCGCGGCGGCACCGATTGGCTTCTCTAGAAACCCGACACCTAGTGGGAATGAGAACTGTGCCCGCTTCGTGAGTATCCAGGAAAAAGGACCCGTCGCAGGTTGTGAGAAGAAGAGAAACTGCGGAGGTGGCGAATCCCCAAGGCGGGGCCTCCCCAATCCATACACCGCCTTCGGGGCCTGAGACCCTGAGAGCCACGCCTGGCCCTGGGACTTCGCCCTGACCCCGCTCCTCCTGTGCCAAGCGCTCTGTCTCAGTGTTTCCCTGAGTCTTGGCCCAGGAGCTGTCTGAGAAACCAGGAAGAAACCCTCGGCATGGGCCCTGTCCCTCTCCCTTCACTTTTCATCCAGGAATCTCCGTCCCTGAACTGGACTCCCTGTCCACCTGGACTCTTCTAGAAGAAAAGCCACCCACGGAGTTTGGTGACAGAGAGTGAGCTTGCTCTGGGAATGGAGGTGTAGAAACTGTTTTTTGTTTTCCTTTTTTTTTTTTTTTTTATTGGGAAAAGTTGTGCCTGAGTGCATGAGACAGAATAGAGACCAGTTTATTTATTTATTTGTTTATTAAATACATTGGATAGCAGAACCTTGGTAACCCCTGAATGATCAGGAATCTAATCGGTAAAAAATGTGACTTTGGCCCCATGATGTATAAATGTGCCCAAAAGCGTTACAACAGGACTCACAAAGCTTCTAAGTTTCACTTTTGCAGTGTACCTGTGACTCCCGCTTGTCATATTTTAAATTTGCCATCATTCCATAGCTCTGAGTTTCTGTGTGAGTCCAGGATATCTCCTCAATACAAAGTAGCACACTGTGTACTTTGCAACCAGGTAGTTGCAACCAGGAGTCAGTACAGGCTTTATTCACCTCAAAGTTGCAACTGTTCAATGTAGTCACAATGCCCCTCACTAGTGCTCATGCACTGCCTGTTTTTAGGAAGTATCCACTGCTAAGTGTTGTGTATATTTTATAGGAACACTTAGTAATTTTTAAACCTGATTAACATTAAAAAATTAGTTTTTAGGCAGACCCACATGAGGTATTAAAGGCCAACTGCCAAGGACACCCTGCTAGGCTCTGTAGATGGATGTATTAAAATCCATAAAACAATGTATTTAAACCTAAGAATTCTGCTGCTTTCGAATTCTTTCCTCTGCTCCTTTTCTTCACCTCCTGCTTCTCCAGCCCTTCTCTCCGTCCTTTTCATCCTTCAGGCCCTCCTGTCCCCTTAGTCCCCACCACACTGTCACTTGTGAGTTGTGACACTAGCACTGTCCCATGACCTGTTACGTGACTGTTCTTTTCACAGTGGTCCTGCTCCTGGGAGTCGGAGTGTGTCATCTCTCCACTTAAAACACTCCAGTGTCTCCACCTCGGTCTTGAGAAACTTCTGGAGTGTCAGGCACGTGAGCATATGAGGGGATATCTGGTTTATCGTAGGGACTAAATTAATTTTTGTCGACTGAATGAATGAAATATGAGTGTATTAAATTGCATTACAGATAATTATAAAGTGCAAAACACGGAAAAAGTTCAGAAAATTTTTATTTTATGTAACTAGTGTGCATATCAATTCATCAATTCATTCGTGCACTACCATGCCTGGCGAAACAACACCCATTTATCTGCTTATAGTTCCTTGATCAGAAATCTGGGCAAAATTGTGGATGGAATCTCTCTTCTGGGCTTCCAAAAGCTGTGTTTTCATTTTGAATACTCCTTCAGGCTTATACAGAGGTGGCAGAATGCAGTTTCTGGCAGTTGTAAGACTGAGGTCCCTGTTCCTTGCTGGCTGTCAATGTAGAGAACAGGGAGGGCTGTGCTCGATTCCTGGTCCTCACCAGCATTCTTTCCTACACAGCCCCTTCATTTTTTATTTTATTTATTTATTTTTTGGAGATGGAGTCTTGCTCTGTAGCCCAGGCTTGGGTGCAGTGGCCGGATCTCGGCTCACTGCCAGCTATGGCTCCCAGGTTCACGCCATTCTCCTGTCTCAGCCTCCCAAGCAGCTGGGACTACAGGCACCCGCCACTACACTTGGCTAATTTTTTTTTTTTTTTTTTTTTGTATTCTTAGTAGAGACAGGGTTTCACCATGTTAGCCAGGATGGTCTCGATCTCCTGACCTCATGATCCGCCCGCCTCAGCCTCCCAAAGTGCTGGGATTACAGGCGTGAGGCACCGCACCCGGCCCACAGCCCTTTCATTTTCAAAGCCCATGCTGGAGGAAACCCCTCATGCTGAGTCCCTCTCACACTGTGAGTCTCTATGCTCAGGAAGAACCCAGTCCTTTCAAGGTCTCACCTGATTAGGACAGTCCAAGCAGGATAAACCCAGCCTAAAGTCAACTAATTGAGACCCTTAATTATATCCACTAACTCCCTTCACAGCAGCACCTACATTAGAGTTGATTGAATAACTGGAGGATGGTGAATGACCAGGAGCTGGTTGTTGAGGGCATAATAGAATCAGCCTAGCAAGGGTTGGATCTTCCTTTTGTGTTTACTTCGGACACAGTTGGAAATTGAAGTTCAAGTAAAGTGATCATTGTGAATGGTCATAAAATACATCCTCTTCAGCCATGGAAATTCTCCTTACCTTTTAAAACTAAGTTACATGTTTAATATCTTATAATTAATTTACGCCAGGTATGGTGGCTCACGCCTGCCATCCTAGCACTGTGGAAGGCAGAGGAAGGCAGATTTGTTGACTCCAGAAGGTCAAGATCAGCCTGGGCAAAACCCCCATCTATACAAAAAATTAGAAAATTAGCCAGGCATAGTAGTTCATGATGGTAGTCCCAGCTACTCAGGAGGCTGAGATCAGTGGGTCCCTTGAACCCAGGAGGTCGACACTGCAGTGCATGGTGATCATGCCACTGCACTCCAGCCTGGGTGACAGAGCGAGACCATGTCTCAAAAATAATAATGATGATGATGATACATTTAAAGCAAATGCAATTTAATGTGTAATAATACATCCTCTCTTGTGAAAATGTGTTATTTATTTACTATTGCATAACAAATTATGTAAAACTTAGCTTAAAACAACAAATATTCCTCATCTGCCACAGTTTCCAATGGTCAGGAGTCCAGGAGAGGTTTCCCTGAGTGCTTCTTGCTCCGGGCCTCTCACAAGGTTGCAGTCCAATTGTCAGCCAAGGGCTGCATCATCTGAGGGCTTCACTGGGGCTGAGGATTCACATGAAACATGGATCAGTCACATGGCTGTTGGAAAAGGCCTAGTTCTTTGTTGTCTGGTCCCGGAAGGCCTCAGTTCTCAGCCACATGGACCTTCCTGCAGGGCTGCTTGTGGCACAGCAGCTGGCTTCCCCCAGAGCTCATGATCCCAGAGACAGAGAGAGAGAAGGTGGAAGCCGCAGTGAGTTTTAGGTTCTACACCCAGAGTTACAAACCATTATGTCAGCATTATTCTATAAGTTAGAAGTTATATTAGTCCATTCTCACACTGCTATGAAGAAATACCTGAGACTGGGTAATTTATAAAGGAAAGAGGTTTAATTGACTCACAGTTCTGCATGGCTGAGGAGCCTGCCCCAGGAAACTTACAGTCATGACAGAAGTGGAAGCAAACACATCCTTCTTCACATGATGACAGGAGAGAGAAGTGCAGAATGAAGCAGGGAAAAGCCCCTTATAAAACCATCAGATCTCATGAGAATTCCCTCAGTATCACGAGAACAGCATGGGGGCACCGCCCCCATTATCCAATCACCTCCCATGTGGTCCCTCCCCCAATAGGTAGCGATTACAATTCGCATAACAATTCAAGATGAGATTTGGGTGGGAACACAGAACCAGGCCATATCAGAAGTGCCTCATTAAGTCCAAGCCACACTCAGGAGAGGGAATTAAGATGCACCTCTGGAAGGGAACAGTATCAAATGTTTTGAATATATGTTAAAAGCAAAATTATAACTATTGTTTCAGGTTTTTGAAAATCAAAGACTTCTTTTATCTAATTATTTTTCATTAACTCTTTCAGCTTGTCTTTTTCTTTAAGCTTGTCTTTTAATTTAATTTTTTTTAAGTTCCAGGGTACACGTGCAGGATGTGCAGGTTTGTTACATAGGTAAACATGTGCCATGTTGGTTTGCTGCACCTGTCAACTCATCACCTAGGTATTAACCCTGGCATGCATTAGCTATTTTTGCTAATGATCCTCCCACCACCACCCTGCCCCAATAGGCCCCAGTGTGTGTTGTTCCTCTCCCTGTGTCCATGTGTTCTCATTACTCAGTTCCCAATTATAAATGAGAACATGTGGTGTTTGGTTTTCCGTTCCTGTGTGAGTTTGCTGAGGATAATGGCTTCCAGCTTCATCCATATCCCTGCAAAGGACTTGATCTCATTCCTTTTTATGGCTGCATAATATTCCATGGTGTATATGTACCACATTTTCTTTATCCAGTTCATCATTGATGGGCATTTGGGTTGATTCCATGTGTTTGCTATTGTGAATAGTGCTGCCATGAATGTAAACATGCACATATCTTTATAATAGAATGATTTGTATTCCTTTGGGTATATACCCTGTAATGCGATTGCTGGATCAAATGGTATTTCTGATTCTAAATCTCTGAGGAATCACCACACTGTCACTGTCTTCCACAATGGATTAACCATTTACTTTTCCACCAACAGTGTAAAAGCATTCCTATTTCTCTGCAACCTCGCCAGCATCTGTTGTTTCTTGACTTTTTAATAATTGCCATTCTGACTGACATGAGATGGTATCTCATTTGTGGTTTTGATTTGCATTTCTCTAATGATCAGCGATGTTGAGCTTTTTTTCATATTTTTGTTGGCCACATGTATGTCTTCTTTAGAAGTGTCTGTTCAAGTTCTTTGTCTACTTTTTAATGAAGTTTTTTTTTCATGTAAATTTGCTTAAGTTCTTTGTGGATTCTGAATACTAGACTTTTGTCAGATGGATAGACTGCAAAATTTTTCTCCCATTCTGTAGGATGTCTGTTCACTGTGATTGATGATAGTTTCTTTTGCTGTGCAGAAAAAAATGCCTAATCAAATTGCTTTTCATTTACAAAAATGTGAATCTCATACTTCAGTCAACTTTATTTTACTTTAGTAAAAATTATTAGCATGATGCCAATAATTTTGGCTTGATGCTGTAGCCCGAAATGGTTAGTTCTAATTGAGAAACAAGTTTTTTTCAAAAACTGGCTATTTGATGGGCATTCTATAATAAACTTAACATCTTTTGTTGTGGTATTGAATGAGATGTGATAGAAGTGATTTGGACACCACTATGATTCTAAATAGCGCTGCTATTACATGCTTCTGAATTTTTTTTTCTTTTTAGCAGTCCTATTCTGTTTTCCATTCATATTTGCTATTCCATCACTGGGTATTCCTCCCTACTCTTTTCATGTTTCATTTATTTTGATCAATGATGTGCATTTCCAATCTGTAAAAGTTTATTTCAGTTTAATGTGTGGTAAAATGTAACATCAAATCTTTGGAAGATGAAATTATCTTGCACAGCAGATTGAACATTGTATCATTGAAAATCTAGAGAGATGCCAGGGAGCCAAGGATCAAATGACCTATTTGTAGCCAATGCCATTTTCATGGCATCCTGGTCCTCTCTGTCACATGGCTCCTTACAATTCTCTGTGGTTTTCTTCCAATGTAAGTAGTTCTTGTTAAGAATCTTTGCAATGAACTTTGAAATTCTTTTCTTTTTCATTTCTATAAAAAACAGGTATATTTTAATTTGGAAAACTCTGTTTAAGGAATTATAATCAAGTATCTACGAGGGTGCCCAGCACTGGTGTAAAACACAAGCCTGTAAAGCTACCCTGGGCTGCTACCCAGTCACCCCCTAGAAGGAGACCGTTGGGAGCAAGTCCCCCAAAATCTGGCCATAAACTGGCCCCAAGACTGGCCATAAACAAAATCTCTGCAGCACCGTAACATGTTCATAATGGCCCTAATGTCCAAGCTGGAAGGTTGCAGGTTTACAAGAATGAGGGAAAGGAACACCTGGCCTGCCCAGGGCGGAAAACCGCTTAAAGGCATTCTTAAGCCACAAACAATAGCATGAGCGATCTGTGTCTTAAGAGTGTGTTCCTGCTGCAGTTAACTAGCCCAACCTATTCCTTTAATTCGGCCCATCCCTTTGCTTCCTATAAGGGATACTTTTAGTTAATTTAATACCTATAGAAACAACACTAATGACCGGTTTGCTGTTAATAAATATGTGGGTAAATATCTGTTTGGGGCTCTCAGCTCTGAAGACTGTGAGACCCCCGATTTCCCACTTCACACCTCTATATTTCTGTGTGTGTGTCTTTAAGTCCTCTAGCACCACTGGGTTAGGGTCTTCCTGACCGAGCTGGTCTCGGCAGGAGACTCCATCCTGAGTCTTCTGATACGTATTCCTTTGTATTCCTTCAAAGATTTGTGCAATAAGTATATATATATATATATATATATATATATATATATCTCCCCAAAACAAACCTCAGTTAGTTTTGCTGGTTTTTAAGCTTCCTGTACAGCAAATTCCTACTGCATGTATTTTCCCATGATACACATTATGTGTAGGAGTTATCTGTGGTGTGGGAGGCTGTCATTCATTCATTTTTACGCTGAAGGCTTACATATCGTTTTACCACAATTTCACCGGTTTCCTATTGATGTACATGTGGCCGATTCCAGTTTTTGCCATAAATATTAGTGTGCATGTCTCCTGTGCACATAGGCAAGAAAGCCCCAAAGCCCCCAGAGTGGATGATTAGGAATGGGTTGGTTGCATGATACATTGTATGGACTTTAACCATACTAGATAATGATAATATGATTTCCAAAGTAATTGTGGCTACTTAAACTTTTACAATAAATGTGTAATACTTGATGTTGATGATGTGTTCTGAAAACACTGAGTTGAAGGAATTGTGTTAAAAGTCACCGTCTTGGTGGTAGAATTATAGCAAGCATTTTTATTCTGTTAATAACTTCCTGTTGTTTACTTGTTTCTCATATAAAAGACATTATGCTTTTGACATATAGATTCAGAAAATGCTTACTTACAGCCCAATCACATAGGGTTATTTTATATTTTAGGAAAATTTTATAATAAAAAGGAAAAAATGGAGGAAGGGAGGGAAAGAAGGAGGAATGGAGGAAAAAGTGAAAGAAGAAAAGAAGGAAGGGGAAGGGGAAGGAAAGGGAGCAAGAAGGAGGGAAGGTGATAGGTTGAATGGAAATAGAGAAGAAAGAGAGGGAGGGAGGGTTAGAAGGAAAGAGAAACGGAAGGAAGAGGCCAGGTGTGGTGGCTCATGCCTGCAATCCCAGCACTTTGGGAGGCTGAGGCAGGCAGATCATGAGGTCAGGAGACAGAGACTTTCCTGGCTAACATGGTGAAACCCCGTCTCTACTAAAAATACAAAAAAATTAGCTGGGCGTGGTGGCAGGTGCCTGTAGTCCCAGCTACTTGGGAAGCTGAATCAGGAGAATGGCATGAACCCAGGAGGCAGAGCTTGCAGTGAGCTGAGATTGAGCCACTGCACTTTAGCCTGGGCAAGAGAGTGAGACTCCATCTCAAAAAAAAAAAAAAAAAAAAGGGAAGGAATAAAGGAGAAAAGAAACTAAAATAAAGAAAAGAATAGGTGTTGAGAAACTAGAAACCCTATGTGTGGCTAATATTATCAAAATAGGAGAAAATAAAAGAGATGTAGTTAACTTCTATAGAATAATGGAAATGTAAGAGGGCTTCATTAGTTATCCATTGCTGTGTAACAAACTACCCCCAAATTTAGTGATTAAACAATAAACATTGAGGAACTCAAAAGCATAATACAAATACCAGCAAAATGGAGCCAATGCAGGTAGAAGTTGAATAAACAAAAAGATTTTACACATTGGAATAAGTAAGAGATCACTAGTGGGCAGATGAAAATGATTTTATAGTCCAAATGCTCCAAAAAGCAAGTTCCATCATGGGATTAAAGTTATAGCATTTTATTAGGGGACACACCTGTCAGGTGATATGGCAAGGGAGGTAGGTTACCCTGGGAAAGGCAACAAGATGCAAAGGTGATCCCCAGTGATGGACAGAAGGAGACAAGGTTTACTGGATGTGCCGTAGACCACAGGCAATCTAAGGAGAGTTAAGCAAGGCCATGGAGGAGTCCTTGAGCTACAGTTGGCCATCAGAGGAGTCCCTGGTCTCCCAGGAATGTCCTGCTTTCGTGTCACTGGTGTGATCTGTCACTGGTTGGGAACAGCCCATTGGAAGCAGGACCTCAGCACCAATGCTACTGAGGATGTCAGAGCACAGGAGCAGGGCCTTGGGAGATTACCCAGCATTACTCAAACCTTCTGCCCTGACGGGTCTGGGTCCTTGGAAATCAAGCTGTCTCAGGCTGAATTGCTGGATGATTCTGCTCACACTTACAATGAGGTAAGGGAAACCAGAAGGCCCCCAGGTGGATCTCTGGTTTCCACACACACTTCCGCCCTCATTGTGTGAAAGTAGCCATGCCTTCTCCTGAAGATGAGGATCTATTACCTGGGCCTGGAGAGGAGGAGAATCCTCTTTTCACCAGGTGGTCTCTGGGCACAAACTATCAAAACTTCTCTCGTGACAACCATAATGTGTAGTTCAGTGGGCTGTCTTTTGTCTCCTTTTAAGGGTACCCTCCTTGGAAACCAGGACCTCGTACCCTGCACAGCCCAGTGTTGGAAGATAAAACGTGCAAAATACCCCATTGGGTGAATCTAAGGGATTGGACGTGGAGCCAAACCTGCTTCCATCTTTTGATCCCTGGACACACATGTTCTTCCTATTGAGAACACAGCACTCTAGAGACATCTCTGATTCAAACAATGCACCGTGTCCTAAAAGATGGCACCCACCTCTCAGAGTGCTTCCTCCAGGCTGGCACTGAGTTTTGCCTGTAGAAGACCTGTCCAGCATTCCTTGTGGCTGGCAGCCTCTGGATGGTGCAGATGGTGATAGGATTAGTGGAACCCACAGCCATGGAAACACTGAAACTTTCCCAGCCAAGTGGGTCCTTCAGGCAGATAATGGGCTAGGAGCACCGCCTAGCCTGCAGATCAGGAATGTCAACAGCACCCGGAGAGGTGCTGGCTGAGTTTCTGAGAGCAGGACATGAAAACACCCATGGAATAGGAGCCTATCCCTGTGAAGATGAACCTCTGGCCCTTCCAGGATGGAAGTAGCTAAATGTAGTCAACTTGTTACTTAGTGGCTAGTTAGTCACCTAAAGAAATAGTGCCCCACTGGGGCACATCATGGGCCTCAATTGCTAATGAGTTGGACATTCAGAGGTGTCGGCAGCTGGATCTGCCTTGGTAGGGGGGAGTCAGTGCTGTTGGCCCCATACGTAGCCTCATGCCTGCCACTGTGGTTGCTCCATTCATGAACTCATCCTACCAAACCAGGGCTGACCCATGGTGAAGGCTGGCTAACTTCCATTTGTCTGTTTGGTTGTTCAGTGCCACTTCAGACTTGGGTATTTTCTCTGGGTGTAAACATGGGATTCAAGCTCAACCCAGGTGGACCATTTTCACCTCATGATGGATGCTGTTGGGCCTGTCTAATCTATGACTCTGTGGGTCACACAGGCACTCGAACCACATAGTTGCTTGGTGTCCCGTGGTTAAGCATTCTATCTAATCAGGACAAGGGACACTAAAAGTTGCTTCTAATAGGTGGCATATGTCTCTGCTGTGAATGACATGACCTTACTCCAGAATCCCAGGCCTTTCACTGTGACTTTCCCACTGGTGCTTGGTTCAGCTCCATCCTGCATCTTTCCCTACCAATGGCATCACCAGCACCAGGGGGTCTGAGAGATGGTGGCTGCTCGCACCATGGCCTGGATCTGCTGCAGGGTCCTTTTCTGTGTGGGCCCTACTTGAAGCTGGCCTCCTCCTATGTCACCTAGAGTGTGGGCCAAAGCAACATACCTAGATGTGGAAAGTGGTGTTGTCAGAACTGGAAGAGGCTCATCAGGCAGTGTGCTTCCTTCTTTCTGGTGAGGATGCAAGATGAAACAGTTTGTCTGTTACCTTGGAGGGGACACACCTGCATTCCCCTAAACACTTGGCCATTGTTCACCCATAAAACTTTACTTCAATGCCCGCTATCTTTTTCTTTTTGAGATGGAATTTTGCTCTTGTTGCCCACTCTGGAGTGCAATGGCACGATCTTGGCTCACTGCAATCTCTGCCTCCTGGGTTCAAGTGATTCTCCTGCCTCAGCCTCCCAAGTAGCTGGGATTACCAGCATGGGCCACCATGCCTGGATAATTTTGTATTTTTAGTAGAGACGGGGTTTCTCCGTGTTGGTCAGGCTAGTCTCCAACTCCCAACCTCAGGTGATCCATCCACCTCAGCCTTCCAAAGTGCTGGGATTACAGGCGTGAGCCACTGCACCTGGCCGAGTGGCCACTCTGGAAGCTTTGTAAGGTTTATCTTCACCTTCTGGAGTGCCCGTGTTTTGCCAAGCACTACAGTGCACTTTCTACCTGCTGCTCATCCAGCCAGGTCAACAGGAAGTTGTCAATGATATGAGCTGATTTAATATCCTATTGGATATCCAGTATGTTTAGTATAGTCTTAAGACTATACTATAGAGGTCAGGGGAGTTACAATAGCCCTGAGACAAATGATAAATCAATGTTTTGAGGATCCCACATGAATGTGAATCACTCCATATCCACTTTCTAATTGGAGTGGAAAGAAATGCAGTCACCAAATCCACAGCTGCATGCTCTGTGTCCAAGGGTTTATTAATCTGCTCTACCAGTGATATCCAGACAGCACAAAAGCTGCAATTATAACTCCTACTTGGCCAGACCTGGAGTAATCTAGTTCATTCTTTAGGCTTCATCAGGCTTCTTCAGGGACAGGTTGCTGGATTACGTAGAGACAATAGACAGCCCCAACACCATCCCACATCCTTCAGCTCTGTAATGGTGATGTGATCCCCACAATACTTGAAGTATCTTACACAAGACCCACCCTGGGACACACTATGATTTTTGATTTGGCCAGGATGGGGGCAGTGTCAGAGGTTTCCCTTTGGCTTTCAGCACAATGAAAGTCCTTACTCCACAGACTAGGGACCCAGGGTGGGGGTAACTCCACTTAGCAGTGCATCAGTGTCAATTATGCACTCAGGGTATAGGAAGATAACCAGGGCTGGGTCTATGGATCCAGTAGTTCCATTGTGGGCCATAATGTGTCCAGGTTTACTCCCTGAGCTCCATAAGCCCCACTGTGATGAGAGACATGATAGTGCTGTGGGCATCTGAGCATCAATGTCAGTTCACACCCAGTGTCAATAATCCCCCCAGTTCTGCCTGTTTCCTTTCCCCAGTGTACAATCTCCTGAGTAAATGGCTATATGGTCCTTTGCCGAAGGACTGAGGGAATTGTCCCAGCATATACTTCCACGGGGTTGCAGAGTATTCCGCCTAGAGATATGGACTCTTCCTCTGTCACTGAGATCTGAATCTGCATCTTGGCTGAGGTCTAGGCATTGAGGATGGGATCATGATTTTGTATTGAGTCAAACACCTTCACCCTCCTGCTTCTCAATTCTTGCTTTCTTATCATAGATATCAACCAGCTGCCTGTCCTAACCCTGGGACACCACCCTCTATTATACTTCCCCACATTCCCTGCAGCTTGAGTCCTCTTGGCTTCTCCTCCGAGGTTGCCATAGTAACCGTGCCCTCTGGCTTTTGCAAGTCACTGCCACCACTTGGTCTTTGTCTCTTCAGGGCCACACTCTCCCCAGTGATATTAGAAATGAAACTCTGGGACTATCTTTACTACCATCACCCCCAGCCTACAAAGGACAATACCCTGACACTTCTTAGTGATGCAGGTCCCTCTCACCATCAAGTTCCTGAGGCTCTGGTGGAAGGTGTGTCCTCTGGGCCCTCTTGTAGAGCATGGTTTTGGTAGGCCTTCACCAAGCCCACTCCCCTCAGCTTGTTATTCCATCCTCTACATGTTCCAGGGCAACTAAGACATGTCTACCTTGTTGAGAGTTGGGCATGTTTTTTTCTAGACTATGTGGATACACCCCAGCAGTGGGTTTACTCCACTTATCAAAGTCCTGGAGTGTTTGATAAATCCATGCCCTGAGAAAGTGTCTTCAAGCCAAAGGATTATATTCATCCAGCCTGAAATTCTGGTTCCTTGATCAAACACCCTCAAATTCCAATCCCAGAAGTAGTCCCTGGGCTCCTATGGGGACGTGCTGGCTAGTTCCTGCAAACCTCCTGAGTGGGATTCTCGCGGCATCATAGGGGTGAGGATTGTGTAGCATCTTCCAGCAGTGAAAGTGGGAACCATTACTAGAGAAGGGTGAGCCTCCTCTGCATGCCCAGAAGATCCTGGAGGGCACGCATCGCATAATCCTGTTCCAGTTTGCAGAATCTCAGGTTTCCCCACCAAAGCCCTGACTTTCCTGTAACAGGCCTGCCTTGGCTGAGTGTCAAACATCTCTGGAGCACTGTGGCCCTCATAGTGATGTAGAGCTAACATTCCTTGCTATCTGCCCTTTTGCTACAGGAGATAAAGACCTGTCCATGAGACACTGCCGAGGGTGTCAAATGTAGCCAGTCATAGCTGTCAACAATCCACAGATTCTCATTATCTTTTTACACAGCATCGATGCAGCTGAGAAGTAACTAGCCAAAGCCACTGTCTTTGTAGGTTTCTTCCAACCCTGTCCTTATTATGCAGGGCATTCTATCACTGCATGTGCCATAGCACTCCCTAACCAAGGCAACTTCTCAGCTCAGCACTGGTGAGACCCCCAGCTGCTCAGCTGCACCTTGTGCCATGGACTTTCTGTGTCTGCCACCAACCCGGGTGGCATCCTCTTGGCCTGCCAGGCAGTGGGAAGCTTATTTCAAATTCCCATTTTTGCCTGTTTTCATGGATCACCCTTCATGCCACTTGTGTTAGTTAGGGTCCCCTGAGAAGCGGACCCCAATACAGTAGTAAACATGTAAGGATTTATTAGGGGAAATACTTGTGAGAGAAATTCATGAGACAGAAAATGCTGGGAAAGCCACTGGACCACAAAGCAACTCTGAGCCTCAGTGATGTAGAGAGTGCAGGAAGGTCAGCTGGAAGCATCCTAGACCGTGTGCAGGCTAAGGGAAGTTCAGTAAGGGTGGCAGGGAGCCCTGGAGCTTCAGTCAGCCTTCAGAAGAGGAATGTCCTGCCTTAGTTTCTGCCCTACTTTCCTCAATCATTGGCTGGAAAAAGCCAGGGGTGGGCATAGTCTCAGAGCAAATGTGGCAATAGATTTCAGACTTCAAGAGCTGGAGCCATCATCAATTCTGCTTCTTCTAGATGAGGGGCTGGGATGTGCATTCTCATGACTGCCACAATGATCCAGTGGGGAGAGAGGAAAAAGGTTGACGATAAAGATAAAAATGGTATTAATTGATGAACTGACACCTTTAAGTAGATGATAAGGGATGGCAATTGGGGCACCAGAAGAGGGTCTGGCTCTGGCTGGGAGCAGAAGGGTTAACCCACAACAGTCCCTCACATGGTAAAACGCCTGACATGTGGTGCAGCTGCAAATGCATGAGCAGACAGTGGTGGAATCTGTGAAGTTGTCTTCTAATGTGTTCAGTTTTCTCAGTGAAGTGGGAAGCAAGGTCATCAGCTGAAGTAAGAATGGGGAAGGCAGGTTGGATGTGTGAGCACAAAGAAAAAGTGTGTAAGAGTCACCCAGGCCAGGAGGAGGCTGAGGGTGAGCCATGCAGGGAGAGGGTGATTGCTGGCCATGGTAGGGACTTCCTATGTGGTTTGGAATCCTAAATTTTAAGAGACCAGTCAGCGTACTGTGTGCTGCTCTCCAGCCTCCTGCAGCTCATGGGGGCAGGCTCAGCATAGGCAGAGGTGGAACCCACCAGCTGTGTAGTTTTGCCAGGTGAGTGTGACAATTCAAGGGAGAGGGAAGGGAGGGATGGAAATTATTTACCATAGAATTCAAAATGGGTGAGGAGGGAGGACAGGACACCCAGGGTGAGGGACAGTGAGTAGATGGCAGGATCACTGGATTGGGAATCCCAGGAGGGTGGAACGATTGTTGGAATTGATGTACTACAGGGTAGACTCCAAGCGTGGAAAGCAAGCACATATGCAATGAGTGGTCCACTGATATTACATCACAGCATATGATAAAATGATAGTATCTGTGTCCTCAGAGCCTGTGGCCACCTTGCAAGGGGATGAGTGGAAAGATGGTCAGAGAGTGGGAAGTGTGAGATAGAGAGTATGGAAGGGCTGGGGTTCTTAGCCATGATGAGGCCTAGGGGATAACAAGGGCATGAGATTCAGGCAGACAGGAGAAGATCATGGAGGAGAGGAGTTCCAGGATCTGAGAGGCCAGGAAGCGAGGGCATCTTCTCTGCTGTGTGGGTGTCTATTGCTGCCATAAAAATTACCACAAACCAAATGGCTTTAAACAGCACCTATGTATCATGGCACAGTCGTGTGGATTGCAAGTCCACCCAGTCTCATGGGGCTAAGATCAACATACGGGAAGGTCTGCATTCCTTTCCATAGACTCTGGGGAAGAATCCACTTCCAAGCTCATTCAGGTTCTTGCCTGAATTCACTTCCTTGCAGATAGAAAAGAGGTTTCCACTTCCTTGTTAAGAGCCACCCTTAGCTCCTAGAGCCTTCTCTCAGATACTCACACACGGTGCCTAAGGCACATTCAATCCTCCTGCTTGGAACTTCTGACCTCCCCTCTCCAGCTTCTCCTCTGCCTTCCTCCTCTGCAGAATCTGACTCCAACCAGGGCAGGCTCTCTGCTTTTAATGGCTCTTGTGATTTGATTGGGCCCACACAGAGAGTCCAGCAGAATCTCCCTATTTTAAGGTCCTTAATCTTCATTACATGAGTAATATCCCTTTTGCCACGCAATGCAACCTGTTCACAGGTTCCAACGATTAAGACTGGACATCTCTGGGGACCATTACTCAGCCCACCACATCTGCGTATGTTGAAGTCACCAAGAGTCAAGGAGACAGCAATGCTGGAGAGGGTGACAGTGAACCAGGAGCTACAAGACTCAGGATTGAGAAGAACAGCCTGGGGCCCACAGGGAATGGTTACAGTGAGGCAAATGGGGCTCTAATCTGATGACAGCCTAGGGGTTTTAGGGAGGAGGGAGGCAGAAAGTTCTGAGAACCACAATGAGGAGCAAGGACCCCACCTCACCTCTGAACCCAGGGGTACAAGTCCCTGGGGAAACTCCCCCATGTGGGAGGACTTCGGAGGGGGTCATGTCCTCAGGGAAACCCAGGTTGCTGCTGGAGCTGCGAGATGCAGGAACATCCTGAGAGAGGCTGAGGAGGTTTTGCTGATGTGGACTGAGAAATCCAGGGGGTGCACTGGGAAGATTTCTGTGGCTGGGGAGGTCGGGGAGACAGAATAGAGGTGTGCAGAGCCTTGTGGGGATGCAAGTGCAGAGTATGTGGGGGACCCAGTGTGACTGACACAAACAGGGACAGAGCATGATGAGCTCAGTCCAGGTGCACTCCAGGCCGACGATGGTGCTGAGCCTGTGGGAGATGCGGGAGGAGGAGCAGGGGTGGCTTTCACCTGGGCTCTGTCCATGGAGGTGAGGACAGTGAGGTGGTTGGGTCTTAGTGCTGTGGGGAACTTTTCTTGACCTCCTGATGACTGGATGGAGTGTCTGAGGGAGGAAGGGTCTTACAGGATTGACTTATGACCCTGAGGGATGTGCTCACTCCAGGTCTCAGGTCTGTCCTGACACCTTTATTTGTGGCTTAGAGCTCCCTACTGTAAATTATTGGGAGTTAGTTCATTTTGGAGTTTATAACTTAAAGCAGAAATTCAGATGGTTGAAATGTCATTTTCATGAAGGTTTGTTATTAGTGTATCATTTAGATTGTTTTGCAAAAGTCTCATTTTTTTTCTAAAGGGTTGCCAATCTTGTTTTAAATTTACAAAGGTTGTTAATCTATCTTCACTGTTAATTGGTTGTGGGTTGTTTAAACTTATACTGTGTAGTTTTACATATCTGTAACAGCAGTAGTTTGGGCCTCTTATATTCTAATAATTAAGACTTTCAGCTGAGTACACACTGTAATTCAAGCACGAGTCATGCATAACCCTAGCACTAAGAGACAAGAGGGGAATCCCTCTCTCTGAAAATTTTGCAAAATTCTGGGTTCTTTTTCCACTGAGTGGGCACAAGTCGGCTAATCATGAACATGAGGTATTTGTCCTCATTTAAAGGTGCTTCAGAAGCACTGACCCCTAGGAAGGCCTCCTTGTCTGGGTCAGGCACCCTACACCATGGCAGAGGCCATCTTCCCTCCCAGTGTACAGTGATATCCCAGATAGCTTACTGGTTAGCTGCTGTCCACTCTTGGGCAGTTTTGTCTTCTAAAACATGGGTTTTTATCTGAGAATCTTCCTGTTCCCAGATGATCAAAACTGGGGCCATCCATTCCATTCTGAGCCACTTCTGCCCAGGGGCCCATGGCTATTTCCTCCAGTCACAACAGAACACCCCTTCAGAACAGCCTGCAGGAAGGCACCGTCTCCTCACAGGCTCACACATGCACGGTGTGTGCACAGAGCTTTTGCTCTAGTTCAGGAGGTGTGTAGGGAGCCTCACTAGTCCAACAGAGCTTGGTACCAGTGTCATATGCCAGGAACCAAGGTTATAAGGGATACAATGTCCCCAGACCTACCAGAGAAGGCAAACTCATACAGCTTGCAGGACCAGACAAGGACAAGAAACAAGTTCAAAAGAGGGAAAGGGAAACTACAGACGTACCTCAGAGATACTGCAGATTTGGTTTCAGACCATGGCAACAAACAAGTCACACAAATTTTTGTTTTTCCAGTACATATAAAAGTTATATTCACACTCTACTGTAGCCTATTAAGTATACAATAGCATTATGTATGAAAGAACTATGTACATACCTTAATTTAAAATTACTCTATTGCTAAAAAATGCTAACGGTCGTCTGAGGCTTCAGCTAATTTTAATCTTTTTGCTGGGCAGGGTCTTGCCTCAATGTTGATGACTGCCAGCTGTTCAAGAGGGTGGTTGCTAAAGGCTGCTGTGGCAATTTCTTAAAATAAGACAATGAAGTTTATGGCATGGATTATAAAGGGGGAATCAGTACTTAAGTAAGGTCAATATGAGTTTTCAAGTCAGGTGGACTTGAATATGAACCCTCCAGGCCTTTCCACCAACTAGCTATAAAGCCTTGGGCACATCTGGCCCAGAGCTGGCCCCGACGGACACTTGCCCAGTGGGTGAGTGCTCAATGAACCCATCTGAGCCAATTGTCTCATCCAACCAGTGATATAATTCCTTCCTTGCAGAAGAATAAGTGAGAAAAGACACAGTGCCAAGAAATTCAGACACAAGACCTGCGGAAGTCTGCGCCAGTGCTCTAAAGCAAGTTCTGCCTAAAGCGGCAGAAACATTTTTCACATTAGGAACAGGAGTTGTTTGGGATCCTGTCTGGGGCCAGGTTGAGAGCAGAGTGGGAGTGGGGGCCTGGGCAGGACCAGGCACTGGAGTGAAGACAGGCCTGGAGAGAGCTGACTCCTGGAGGCTGCTGAGCGGCTCAGACAGCTCCTTGCCTCACCTGCCACAGTCCTCCCTCTCCCCTGGCCTCCAAGTACCCGGGAGTGCGAGCCTGGGCCCCGGGAACCGGCACCTTGAGAGCGGGAGAGGGACCCCGCCCGCTCCCTGTCTCCCTGACGCGCTCTCTCCGCCTCCCCGCGGGGACCCAGCCTCCCGGGCTCCCTCCTGCCTACCGCCCGGCCCTGGAGCCGCTTACCTGGGAGCTTCTTACGGTGTAGGGGGAGCTGGGGAGGGGACAGAGGGACAGGGACCACGGGAGGGTGGCGTGGGGCGGCGTACTTGGAGATATGACCTGAGGAGTCTGCAGACCCTAGACCGGGGCAGAAGCGCCGTGGGAGGAGCTGCTGAGCTCTCCAGGCCGCCCTTTACCTCCTGCCTCCCCAGCCCAGTTCATCTTGATCCTCTCCTCACTAGCCCAGTTCTCCCCAAGGTCAGGGCTCATAGAGCAGCAGGAGTTGGGTTCCGGGACGCGGGATCCGGCTTCTCTGGGAATCTTGGATTCCAGGAAGGATCCTGGAGATCTCCCACTTTATGAAGCCCAATCTCCACTCACTCTGATGGCGTCTTTAGACCCCACTGGAAACCAGATACGACGCCCTCATCGGCCCTGGGGAAAAAACAAGAGCAAAGTATGAGAGGTGGCCATGAGGTCAGGGAAACTCCTGCAGAATTCTCAGGAAAGGAAACTCTTCCGAGCTGGGCCCTTGCCTTAGTTTGTCTTCCCTGCCCAGCCACCTGTCCCAGAGCTGGAGACGCCCAGGTTTAAGCCAGAGACTTTGGATACTTTCCTTGATGGTGACATAATTTTTGTCTTCTTCTCTCCTGGAAGAGAAGCCCCAGAACCATCAGAGTGATCCAGTCTGCCCACTCTTCTTATTATTCTGTCTCTCCAATCACTCTCCCTGAGCTGGACTCTCCACCCACCCTCACATTCTGGATAGTGCAGAGATGTGAGCATGGCCCTGGGGCAGGATTGTCTGCGTGCAAGCCCAGCTCCACCACGACTTGTAGGCGACCTTCTTTCCTATTGTATCACCTGAAAACGGAAAATTAGCAGGCACACCCCATAGTTGTATCGTGACAATTAAATGAATTCATATTTTGAAAGTGCTAAGGACACAGATTAACACATAGCACCATGACAGTGTATGATATTATCGCTGTTGGTTTTTTTTTTTTTTTTTTTTAGATGGAGTTTTGCTCTCGTTGCCCATGCTGGAGTGCAGTGGCACCATCTCGGCTCACTGCAACCTCCACCTCCTGAGTTCAAGCGATTCTCCTGCCTCAGCCTCCAGAGTAGCTGAGATTACAGGCGCCCGCTACTACGCCCAGCTAATTTTTTGTATTTTTAGTAGAAAGGGAGTTTCCCCATGTTGGGCAGTCTGGTCTTGAACTCCTGACTTCAGGTGATCCACCCTCTTCGGCCTCCCAAAGTGCTGGGATTACAGGTGTGAGCTACCATGCCCGGCCGTTGTTGCTATTTCTTTCATCCTTTTTGCTTGAGCCTCTTCTCTTCTTTCTAGGTTCCCAGGGAAATTCTCTGTTGGAAGATTATGTCTGCAAGAGGCCTCCACCTGGGAAATGCTGGCCCATGGGGGGATCTCCCTTTTATTAAATGGAACGATTGTTGGTGAAGTGACAGCTAGTGAGCCAGTGACAGTACGGTTCATGTAAAAAAGACCACATACCTAGGATTACCTCCATTTTAATAAAGACACATCCCACACATTATAAGTCCAATGTGATTTGTGAGGAGATTGCTTTGATTTGCTCACGAAAAATATTACTCTACTTTCTTTGAGAGAGTTTTGCAACACATTTCAAATCTCTGCTTCTCATTTCACACTATCTGGCTCATGAGTGAAGGTGATAAGTGTCGTCGTACTATGCTCTCAGGTTTGTCTGTCAGAGTCATAGTCACGTATTACACATAAAGATTATTTTCTTGTTATCATTTATTTATATATATTATACTCATGGGATATAGATAGATATTATTACAGTGCTTAAATGGCTACTACTGATATCTATACATTTTCTCTCTTGGTATATGATATTAACACATAGAATTGTATACTGTTACTTTGGTTTCCAGCAATTGCTGATTAGGTCATTTGGACCACTTCTCCCATTGACTACAACTGGAAAAATGGGAGGAAAATACATATTTGAAAAGTCTGGTTGAATTTATAGATGGGCTAGCAAAGCAGTGAAGATTTGCTTGGCCAGGAACCAGGAAGAGGCAGAAATCCAGAAGAGCATCTTGAGCTATGGGGCTGCTTTTTTGGATCAGATGCAGTGACACCTGCCTCCCAGGCAAGAAGCCAACTTCTGGGATTCAGAACTAAAGTGTCCCAATATTTAGAAGGTCTCTTGGTCTCTCTAGAGTTCAGTGCTCATTGGCCAGGGCTATGATACTCACACTCATTCCTTGGAGGAGCCAAGCTTCGGGTTTGGCTGCCTCTGGGACATTTCATGCTAGAAAAACCCCAATATGTGTAGATAAATGGTATAGAGGACACCAGCCACCCTTCGATTGAGCTCTGCCCAGTGGTGTCCCCTCACTTCCACTCAGAGACAACATGCCCATTTCACTAAATTCATGAGGACATGGCTAACATAAGTAAGAGAACACCGGGAGGTACCTTGGACAGAGTTCCATGCAGTCACAGCTTTTGCGTCTCTGTGTCTTTTCCCTTCATCTCAACCAGAGAGCATTTGCTGAGGCCGAAGAACAAAAAACTTCAAATATTGGAGCGGAATCTAAGACCACTGATCCATTGTGATCAGGAGGCTGGAGCCATGTGGTCCAGGAATAATGAAGTCTGTGAGGCCTTGGTCACCCCAAGGCTCTCTCCCATTAGGAGCTGCCTCTCACGGCTATCAGGGAGGACCCAGGAGCTGGACATGGCTTTTTTTTTTTTTTTTCATTTCTGATGAGAACCTGGAGAGGTCCCAGAGCATATAGACCTTGATTGAAATGGGGCCAGAGTGGAGTCAGGCAAAAAACTCTAATGATTCAGAGGCACCTAAGTATAAAATAAAATCTCAACTCAGAGCTTCCATCAGAGCATCAGGCTCAGTATCTCCTGTGTTTGCACTGTGAGTACTGGAGCTTGATGAGAAGAAAAATAGCTACATGTGCAGAAAAACATATGTAGTTAGAAAGCTGGGTCATGGTTCAAGGTAAGAGGGACCCTTGTCTTTTCCATGGTAGATAGTGGGGCTTTCTGCCATCTTGGTTCTGATGGACCAAGTGCAGAAGATAAACTTTCCTGCTTTCAGCTTAGTGACTGGTAATAGAAGCTGGAGTTAAGAGAATCAGTGGCAGCCTCTCTCTCCATGCCCCAGCCCAGTAAATCTAAGCCAGGACTTGGGGCTCCGGCACTTTCTTCTCACTGTGCGTCCTCCTTCTCTGGCTCAAAAGAGAACCACATGTAACAGAAACCAAGGGCTATAATTCTCATAGAACCCAGAAAACTGGACTAGGGGCCTAGAGAGTCACGTGCCTGCCATTGTTCCACCGCTTACGTGCTGTGTGACCTCAGGAGAAGCTCTCTGCTCTTTGAATCATCTGTGAATCATGGACAAACACCTCCATGCTAGCAACATTACTGAAATGCAGGGAGGAACCAGTGATTCAATTGGGAGGAAAAAAAGCAAAGTGATGACATTTACTCCTAGACAAAACCTTTTAGGAAAATGTATCTTAAAAGTAGGAGAAAAACATATAATACCTGCAATCCCCTGCAAAAGAAGCCTCTTTAGCTTACTACTTGTTCATCGTCTTTCTGTGAAATTTGGGCAAAACTAGCTCCCTCATTATCTCAAATAAATTAATGCAGTTGGCGATTCTATGTCAGTTTAGGTCTACAACTTTTGCTTTGTGTGAAACTGAAAGGGAATGGGAACATCTTCATTTTTCTGTGGTGGCCAGGGGACACTCAGAGGCTTGGAAATGACCCTATATCATCTATTTTCAATTGCCTCACTCTATCTTTTGAAATCTCAGGTAATTCATACTCCTAAAAAAATCTCATGTTCATACATAGGACAAGGTAGAAAAGGTAATATTTCTGTTTTAATTTGCTAGGGCTGCCATAACAAAGTACCAAAGGCTGGGTGACTTAAATAATAAATATGTGTTGTCTCACAGTTCCAGAGGCCACAAGTGCAAGGTCAAGGTGCTGCAGGGTTGATCTCTTCTGAGGCCTCTTTCCTTTGCTTGTAGATGGCCACTTCTTCTGCCTTCTCAACATAGGGCTTCAACATGTGGATTTTGGTGGCGTAGGAACACAATTCCTCTTGTAACAGTCTGGATCGTCTTTGACAATGGATATTCTAAAAAATAAAAGAGAGTAATAGACAGTACATCCCTTTGGCTGAAATCTTTCTCTTGGTTTTCTAAAATTTTGGTCTTGCAATAGAAAAAACAAGAAAGAGAACCAAAGTTTAGTTCTTCCCGGAAGGTGAGGCCTCCTCCCTAAGTCTGTGTAATCCCAGACACTAAGACATGGTGCTGTGCAGTTATCCAAAGTCCTACTCACTCCAGTGATTCTGTTTCTGTCTTTTTAACTGAGCAGAAGAGTCTCTTTCAGGAGAGCAACTTCTTCTGATGCTTTATGGGCTTTATTCTCCTTAAACTTATGGAATGAAAAAGATCTTAATAAAAAGGAAAATATTTGCCAAATTTTTATCATGCTCATAATTTTTGTACCTTTTTAAATGCCCCATATTGTGTTGTTTATTTTTTAAATTTTTTAAAATTGGTACATAATATTTGTACATATTTATAGGATACATGTGACATTTTGATACATGCATAGAATGTGTGTATCAGTCAAGATATTTAGGGTATCCATGACCTCAAGCATTTATCATTTCTTTCTGTTGAGAACATTTTAAATTCACTCTTTTTTGTTTTGTTTTGTTTTTTGAGATGGAGTCTCACACCATCACCCAGACTGGAGTGCAGTGACACGATCTCGGCTCACTGCAAGCTTCGCCTCCCGGGTTCACACCATTCTCCTGCCTCAGCCTCCCGAGTAGCTGGGACTACAGGCACCCACCACCACGCCCGGCTAATTTTTTTTTTTTTTTTTGTATTTTTAGTAGAGACGGGGTTTCACCATGTTAGCCAGGATGGTCTCGATCTCCTGACCTCGTGATCCACCCTCCTCGGCCTCCCAAAGTGCTGGGATCACAGGCATGAGCCACCATGCCCAGCCAAATCCACTCTTATAGCTATTTTGAAATATACATTTTTGTTAACTTTAGTCAGTCTGCTGTGCTATCAAACATTAGAACTTATTTTCTTTATATAATTGGACATTTGCATCCATTAACCTGCATCTCTATATTTTCCCACCCCTACATTCTTCCCAGTTTCTGGGAACTGTCTTTCTACTCTCTCTACCTCCCTAAGATTAACCTTTTTGGCTCGCACATATTAGTGACAACATGTGGTATTTGTCTTTCCTTGCTTGGCTTATTTCACCTAACGTAATGACCTTTGGTTACATCCATGTTTCTGCAACTGACAGGATTTCATTCTTTTTTATGGCTGAATTGCATTCCATTGTGTATATATATATACCACCATTTATTCATTCACCCATTGATGAATTCACCCATTGATTTAATAACTTCGCTACTGTGAATAGTGCTTCAATAAACCTGGGGGTGCAGGTAGTCTTTTGATATATTGATTTCTTTTCCTTTATATAAATACCCATGAGTGGAGTTGTTGGATCCAATAGTAGTTCTATTTTTTGTTTTTTGAGAAATCATTATACTGATTTCCATAATTGCTGTACTTACTTTCCCAAGAGTGTACAACAGTTCCCATTTCTCCACATGCTCACCACTATCCATTATTTTTTATTTCCTATTAGTAGCCATTCTAAATAGGATAAGATGATATTTCATTATAGTTTTGATTTGCATTTTCCTGATATTTAATAAGGTTGAGTGTTTTTCGTATACCTGTTGACCATTTGTATGTCTCCTTTTGAGAAACATCTATTCAGACACTTTGTCCATTTTTTAATTGGATTATTTGTATTTTTACTGCTGAGTTTTTTAAGTTCCTTGTATATTCTAGATGTTAGTTCCTTGTTGGATGAATACATAGCAAATATTTTCTCTATTCAACAGGTTGCCTCTTCATTCTGTTGATTGTTTCATTTGCTGTGCTGAAGCTATTTAGTTTAATATAGTCCCACTTGTCTATTTTATTTTTGTTGCCTGTGCTTTTGAGGTCTTAGCCATAAAGTCTTTGCCTAGACCCATGTCTGGAGTGTTTCCTGTAAGCATTCTTCTAGTAGTTTTATAGTTTTGGGACTTACATTTAAATCTTTAATCCATTTTGAGTTGATTTCTGTATATGGTGAGAGACGGTTCTAGTGGTATTCTTCTGCATCTGGTAGCATTTTCCCAGCTCCATTTATTCTCCATTGTTGCTTTTGTTCTTTCTCCATTGTATATTCTCAGTTCCTTTACCAAAAATGAGTTGGCTATCAATGCATGGATTTATTGTGAGTTCTCTTTTGTATTCCATTAGTCTATGTGTCTGTTTTTATGCTAGCACCATGCTGATTTGGTTACTATAACTTTATATTGTATCCTGAATTCAGTAAGTGTGATGCCTCTAGCTTTGTTCTTCTTGCTCATGATTGCTTTGGCTATTTGGGATATTTTACGATTCCATATGAATTTCACGATTTTTTCTATTTCTGTGAATAATGATATTGGTATTTTGATAGGGATTGAATTGAATCTGTAAATTGCTTTGGGTAGTATGAACATTTTAACAATATTCTCCCAATTTATGTGCATGAAATTTATGTGTCTCATTTTTAAAATTAATATTTAACAATATTAATTCTCCCAATTTATGTGTTTTATTTTTTTTCTTAGAGACAAGGTCTCACTATGTTTCCCAGGCTAGTCTTGAACTCCCAGGCTCAAACAATTCTCCTGTCTCATCATCCCAAAGTGCCAGGATTACAGGTATGTGCCACTGTGCCTGGCTCTTCCAGTTTTGTGTACTCTTCAATTTCCTTCATCAGTGCCTTATAGTTTTTGTTTTACTTCCTGGGGTAAATTGATTCTTAGTTATTTTATCCTCTTTATGATTTGTAAATAGTTTTGCTTTCTTGATTTCTTCTTCAGATTATATGGTGCTTGTATATATAAATGCTCTGAAAGTTTGCACATTGATTTTGTATTCTGTAATTTTACTGAATTTGCTTATTAGTTCTCACCATTTATTTGGTGGAATATTTAGTTTTTTCTTTTTTTTCTTTTTTTGAGATGGAGTCTCGCTCTGTCATCCAGGCTGGAGTGCAGTGGTGCGATCTCGGCTCACTGCAAGCTCCACCCCCTGGGTTCACGCCATTCTCCCGTCTCAGCCTCCTGAGTAGCTGGGACTACAGGCGCCCGCCACCACGACCAGCTAATTTTTTTTTTTCGTATTTTTAGTAGAGACGGGGTTTCACCATGTTAGCCAGGATGGTCTCGATCTCCTGACCTCGTGATACGCCTGCCTCGGCCTCCCAAAGTGCTGGGATTACAGGCGTGAGCCACCGCACCCGGCCAATATTTAGTTTTTTCTAAGTAAAAGATTATGCCATTTGCGAATAAGGCTAAGTTGGCTTTCTCCTTTCCAATTTGGATGCCCTTTATTTCCTCCTCTTGGCTGATTGCTCTTGCTAGGACTTCTAGTGCTGTGTAGAATAAAAGTGATGAAAGTGGGAGTCTTAGCCTTCTTCGAGATCTTGGAGGAGAGGCTATAAGCTTGTCCCTATTCAGTATAATGTTAGCTCTGTGTTTGCCATATATGGACATATCATGGTGTATTATTCTTTTGGTATACTGTTGGATTTTGTTGCTAATATTTTTAATTATTATTTTTATCAGCAACATTATGATTTTTATTATAAGATTTTTAAACTTATAAAATGTACATATACCAAAATAATCAGATCTTCATCAAATTTATCAATGAATTTTGACAAATGCAGCATATTACTCTTGCCACTATCAATGTACACAAAGATCCCTTTTTCTCCCTTCAACTCAGCTTCCATGCCTCCAGCAGCCATTGATCTGACGGCTATCAGGATAGCACAGTTCTTCCTGTTTTAAAACTTCATACAAATCTACTCATCCCATATGGCCTCCCTTGTATCTGGCTTTTTGCGCTTGTTGTAATACCTATGTGATCAACCCATGTTGGTGCACGTATCAGTAGTTCTTTCATTTTCATTGCTGATAATATTCCATTGTATGATTGAATCATGATTTTTGTAAATTGGCAGTTATTTCTTATTTTTTACTATTATAAATAAAGAAACTATGAACATTTTTATGCAGGGATTATTGACAAAATCTTCATTTCTCTTGAGTATATACCTAGGAGTGGAAATGGTAGCTGTAGAGGACTAGCTTGTTTAACTTTATTAGATGATATGAAATTGATTTTCAAAATGGATGTTTTATATTCCTATAGGCAATGGAGGAGAGTACAGATTGTTCCACATCCTTGCTAGCATTTATAGTTATTAATCATTTTAATTTTAGCCATTCTAATGGTTGCTTAGTGGTTTCTCACTGTGGTTTTACTTTGCATTTTTCCCTGAACTGGCCATTCATATATCTTCTTTTGCAATGTTTCAGATTTCTCTACAGATTGTGGAAGGTGCTAAATAAAGATGAGTCCTCTTTCTCTAGTGCTGGACCTAAAGCAGAATGTTCAGAGTCCCTCCACATATCCCAATCCAGCCAACCACACACCATGTTTGCCTCCAGAAGCTGCTACTCCTTCATCCGTCTTTCACGGTCTATCACTTCATTCTGGCTTAAGCTCACACTCCTCCAGGAAGTCAGTTACTGTGAAGGTCACTAACATGCTCAGTATTGTCATGTCTCCACCTGTCTTTACTTCTTTGCAGCTTTCCTCACACTCAACGACTCCTTTTTATTTTGCTCAATTTCTGTGGATTCACTTCACAAATTTTATTATAAGGTAGTTCTAGCTAGAAGAAAAAATAGAGAATTATAAGAAATCTTTGTGAAGCTGCCATCCAGGTTTGTCAATTTGTGACATTTTAATATTATTGGCTGTATGTAGTATACATAGAAAATAACAGAAACATATGTAGATAGCCCTGATTTTCCACAGTTCTGATATGCATGTGTTTCAGTCAATACTGTACTGAGCAAAGCAAGAACTGTTGGTGAATGTGTGTCTTGAATTTGCTGTATGCCCCTATATTCTTACTAAGTTTTAAAAAGTCTCTTGTTTTTGTTTGTTTGTTTGTTTGTTTTTAACATGGTTTCACTTTGTCACCTGGACTGAAATGCAGTGGCACAAACACAACTCACTTCAGCCTCTACCTGCCAGGCTTAAGCAATTCCTCCCTTCTAGGCCTCTTGAGTAGCTGGGATTAGAGGTTCACGCCACCATGCCTGGCTAATTTCTGTATTTTTTGTAGAGAAAGGGATTTATCATGTTTCCCAGACTTGTCTGGAACGTCTGGGGTCAAGCAATCTGCCCACCTTGGCCTCCCAAGATGCTAGGATTACGGGTATAGGCCCCCTTGCCTGGCTTTACTTTTAGACTTTTTATAAATTGTTTCTTGCTGATTTTGTTATGCATTTGCTTGCTTTTTCCGTTAACATGGTCTATGACATGGATCAATGTTCACACAAATAGTTCATTTGTTTTCATTGCTAGATAGTATTCCATGGAAGGAATATGCTACAATTTATCTCTTCCCCACTTCATTGACCTCTACATAGTCTCTATTAAAGACACTGCTGCAATGAACATGCTGGGACATTGCTTTCTGGTTCCAAGAATACATGAGCTCCCCTAGGATATGCATGTAGGAGTGGGGTCACTGCACCCTTCCCAAATGATGCTACATGATGTCAAATTGTTCTCTGAAAGAAATAATCCAAATGCCTATCAGCAGGGAGCTGGTTAAAAAGCATTGCATTCAAAAAGGGTAATCTCTATTTAAAAAAATGCACACCTATACAATGGATTGCCAAGAAAATTTTGAACAAAAAAAAGAAAGACATAGTGTAGTTCTTGATATTTCTTCATGGGATGGTCTCCATGATACAATGGTAAGGGAAAACAGCAAGGTACAGAAAAGCATATATAGTTTGCTAAAATTTGTGTGCAAAGGGAGAAAGAACATATACATATACATTTATATTTGCTTGCACAGTCACAAAATACCTTTGAAAGAATAAGCACTACCTGAGTTTGGAGTGAGAGATGGTCAGGATGATTTCCCGCACAGTCAGGTTGTTTGAAGGGAGGGGAAAAGAGCAAGCAGCAAGTTTTGTGTTTCTGCAAAGACAGAGACAGTGCAGGAGACACTGAGAGCCTGGAGTGTCTGGGAAACCCGAGTCTTTCTGCCATTTCCCCACTTCTGTGTATCTGGCAGGGGGTGGTGATTTCTCATCCTTGAACCTAATTGCACTGTCAGTTGGCCCCTCAGGCCTGGGCAGATGGGATGGTTCATCCCCTGCCCTGCAGCAAGAGGGCCCTGTCCAGGAGGCACCCACAGCAGGGGCAGTGCAGGTCTGTGGTCGCTCCTGCTCTCACCTGTGGTGTCTCCTGAAGAGGGATTGTCAGTTCTGGTTCCCCGTGGGCGGGAACGGTTGCCTTGTAGGTTACTGGGGCATTGGCCAGGAAAGGGGTGAGAAAGTTATGTGCTAATTTCTCAAAATTCCTGCTTTAAATGCTGATGTCCAATAAAGATGTTCGTAGTTTCAGCTGGGTCTTAAAAGGATTTCCACCAATACTAATGTTGTAATGCATATCAAATGAAACAGGAACTCAAATGTGGAGCTCCCTCTCCAGGACGGTCCATGTGGGAGACGGTGGCTGTGGCAGTGGCAATCCCCAAGTGCAAAGGGTGGGCAGAGGCAGCCTCAGGCTGAGGGGTCTCAAGAAACTTTCTACTCCACAGGGAGAAGAAGATCCCCTATGGGCTGTGAGGGCAGTGGCTTGGGTGGAATCCCTGCTAGGAATCCCTGCTAGGAACAGGAGAGAAAGGCCTTTCAGCCTCCCCAAGCAGCAGCCCTGGGGAGAAGCTGTGCTTCCAGGGATGAGTGGACCAGGCTGGAGCAAGCTTGGCCCAAGTGCAGGTCATGGGCCTGGGGGTCAGGGTAGGCAGGGCCTCCTTGAGCAAGGGGGTTCCCAGGGTCAGGTCAGCTGCAGACCCCATAGCAGCTACATGTTTCCATGCTGGGCCTGCCGTGCTGATGGGATTCTTAATGGGCTTCCCAGTTAGGAGCTGCCTGCTCAGGGCTGGAAGTGGAGGAGCACTGAGCTGCAGGTGGAGGGCAGAACCACAGTGTTTAGGGCCTGCCCTTGTGTGCAGGTGTCTCTACAGGTGAGGTGGGACTGGGGACTGAGGGAGAGAAGGACTGTGCGTGTGACCCAGCCCAGGCCTGGAAGGACATGGAGCCAGGGCCAGAGCCTCTCTTTGGGGAGTCCTCCCACTGTCAGAGCTGGCCAGGCTTGAGAGGAGGGGAGGGCACTGGGTTTTTCCCAGGTCTTGTCCTTTGGTCCTGGGGCTCTTTTCCTCCTTGCTTGGTGGGTGGTGGGCACAGGGCAGGGGCTGATGTTGATGGAGTCATGGGAGGGGACTGGCAGGGGCTGGGAAAAGTGCCATGGGAGGGAGAAAAAAGTGCAGACGTCATCTTCCCTCGGAGAAAGGGTGAATCTGATTTGGGACTGACTGAGGAGGGAGAAGTCCTCAGGGAGTAAAAAGCAGCACTGTGCACCCAGGGGAGCACTTACTATTTTTTCTCTTTTCTCCAGAGCACATGAGTCTGCAAGGCCCAGATCAACACCTGACTCAGACAGGAGAACACCAGGGCAGTGCACAGCCGGGATTTCAGTCTCCGCTGTCAGCTCGCAGGTCCACTGGCTCTACTGAGGGCACCTACACTCTGCAGCCAGGCGGCCTGGATTGAACGCCCTGCCCAGGTCTCACCAGCACTTTTTCTCTTGCTGGCTCAGCTTTCTCATCTATGAAATAGGGAATGTAACAGCATTTATTTCTTGTGGTTGGGTGGATGAAAATTGTTAGTATATATGAGGTGTTTGCAGCTGTGCCATATTATTTTTGTTATTTTGTTATGATTTTATTATATTTTAATACATTAAATGTCATGTAATTGTATTATCACAGGTGAGCTTTATGAGTGAGTGTCCTGGTGACGGCTCCTCCAGGGGAGCCAAGGACCAACTTTCCTGGCACGTTGAGGTCCCCTTGCCCTGTCACACTCTCCTGCATTACCCCATTCTACTCTGTCTTCATATTTTATACTATAGATATTTAGCTTCTAAATAGACATTTCTGGTCTGTGTTTTATTTCAAGTGTCTGGGAAGGGATAGAGTTGAGGTTCAAGGGAGAATGAGAGCTCTGTCTAGATGCATTGACATAGCACAAAGAAATCTCCCCTCCTCCCTGATATCTCCCCATCGGTTCTCAGGGAAGGACAGATTCAGAGCAACACAGACAGGTCTGGGAAGGGATGGGGGTACATCTGAAGCAAATGTTCAGGGCCTGAAGCTGTGAGAGTACACCTGCCCTACAGAGTTGGAGCCCTCATGTGATGATGCAGAGCTGAAGTGTTATATTCTGGAGGGGACAAAAAGTGCTCTGGGGTTTCCTGATTATGAAGGGTAGGGGTCAGTCTGCTTCTAGGAGATGTGGACTGAATTAGTGAAAAATAAATGCACAGTGAATGAGGATGAATAAAGCAAGCATCAGCATCTCCCGCCATCAGTTCAGACTGATTCGGAGGTGGGGAGGTGGGATAGTTCCTGACCCTGTTGCAAGGTTTCTTTTGACTTTCTGGTTTTGGGGCACATAGATGGGTGGCGCTCTTCTTGGTCAGGGCGGCCTCAGCTCCACCCAGGTAAGGCAGTGGTGGCAGAGAGTTAGGGGAGCACCTATGAAACAGACCAAGGCAGGGATGGGAGCCCTCGGTGCAGCAGGAGTGTATGCAGGACTTGCCTGGAAGCAAGAGTATTAGGGACCCTAGTCAGGTCCTGGTCCCCTCCCTGCCTAGGCTCACAGGACAACCAGTAAAGATGCTGGAGTGGGGAATTCATTCATGGGCTATCTATCCAGAGTTGTTTATAGACATATTCTTTCAAGTTTGTATTCAGGGTTGATGTCACATACACATTTATACATGCTGTTTTATGTTTAAGTGTTTTTATATTTTGGTTAGCCTTTTATCATTGTTAAACAAAGTTGTCATTAGGCATAAACTTGCATGTTAACTGAAGCTTTTGTTTTTATTTTATTCGAAGTTACAATTGCACATAATTGAAAGAGTAAATATTTGCGCAGGACTTCCTGAGAAAAACGAGTCTTCTCTGCCTTTCTAGGGAGAGTCCTCTCTTCTCTGTTTCTGCCTTTCTAGGGAGCAACCACTTTCAAGTTTCAGCTGATTCTTTTGACTTTACTTTCACATATCTAAGCACCAAAGCACCATTTCTTTGTTAACATTGCTTGATTTTTCAGTTGCAGCCATTGACTATTGCACTGCACGATGGTGGAATCAATAGTTAAGATTACTTGTTCTCTTTCTTTTTGTATTTTTTTCTTATTTTTTAATTTATTTAAATAAATAAAAATATTCTACCTCCCCAAAACCCCTCAGGACCCACACACAGGCACTGCAGCAGCGACAGGAGGAGGGGGCGCTGGGAACAGGAAGGACACCACCGCTTGGCCTCCGGCACCGGAGGGACAACCTGGAGGGCTCCGGGAGCACCGCAAAGGTCCAAGCGGAGCCAATCCTCACAAGCCCAGGGAAGGGCAACGTGACAGGCCGGCGGGACAGCCCCACCGCCGCGAAGAGGGGCTGCCCAAAAGGCAACAGCCATAGGAGATGAGCAGGGGTGCCTGCTGCGTCGGAGAACTCATCTCCCCAACCCCACCGACGCCACAAGGTAGAGGGCGAGGACAGCGAGGTCGGCCGGATTCCGCACCCCTGCCTCCAACCACCGCCCATGGGCGGGGAGGAGAGACTACCGGCCGCAAGCAGAACGCAGAACGAGAAGAGCGGTCCTGTTAGCCATGAATGTGTCCCTCATCTGTACCGCCTCCGGCCCCGCCCGGGAGAACGCGACGTCACCACATCCATCACTTGTTCTCTTTCACTCTTCCCGTTCTTTCCTTTTCCCAGTATATTTATATAGTAATTATGTTTAATTCAGCCACTCCTTGTTTCTTTTTCCGTGACTCATCTTCTCATATGTCAACTTGACTACTTTTCACTTGCTTCGTAGTATTTGTTCTTCCTCAAGTTAATACTTGCCTTTGTTTTTGTTTATGTTCTAGATAACTCTCATTAATTTAACTTTGATATCTGTTCCATTTCTGTGACTCTGTTAAGAAATTAGAGACTTTGAACTTTCTATTAATTTTACTTTCTTGGAAATGTCCCTCCTGGGCCCTTCTGGCTGCTCCCATCTGGACTGGAGGCTTCTACCTGTGGGACAGAGTCACCTTCCTAGGATCTCCCTCCACCACCATCTGGGGCGGTGCTTTACATGCAGTGGAGCCACCTGGGGTCCTGACAAATGCAGACTGATCAACCTGTCAAGGCTGGGCCTGTGAGCCTTTCTGTCCAGTTTCATGAGATGCTGGTTCTGCTGGTTCATGGATAATAGCTGGGGTAGCAAGGATCTCTCTTTTTGTCTCACAGTTTTCTGCATCTCTTTTTCATAGTAAGCACATGCTAATATATTTTCAATAAATTCATGTGCTCTTTTCCTAAGTTGGTATCAGAGCTAATTATTTTTTTCATTGCGCCAAAATCCATATTATATAAAATTTGGTATCGTAACAATTTTTAAGTATAGAGTACTATAATATGAACTGTAGCACATTGTTATGCAACAGATCTCTAGAACTTTTCATCTTGCAAAACTGAAACTCTACGCTGAAAATCTCCTCAAGAATCCCCCCAGCCTAACCACTGGCAGCCGCCATTCTACTTTCAGGTTCTAAGAGTTTAGACGCCGCATATAACGAATTGCGCAGTATTGGAATTTCCTTGTGATTGGCTTATTACACTTAGCATTGTTCTCCAGGTTCATCCATGTTGCAGCATGTAACAGAATTTCCTTCTTTTTAAGGTTGAATCATATTCCATTGCCTACATAGACCACATGTTCTTCATCTATTCATGTGTTGATGGGTGCTTTGTTTGCTTCCTTGTCTTGGCTATGGTGAGTAATGTTGCTGTGAATACGGGTATGCAATGTTTTTCTTTTTTACAGCCTCCCTCATTTCAGTGGAATTAATGTTTTAGTAGCTACTTCTGATAGCACATATTTAAAGTATTTTTGCATGCATCAATGTGTCCATTGTTGTTTTGATTCTCTCCTGGAAGAGGATGGAAATGTATGAAGGTGCTGTTTGGCACAGTATTTAATGGTGAAGAAGAGACGGTGTAACTGACCAGTGCTGGGTCTCAGCATCCTGCAATTTCAGAACTACTGTGAATGCAAAAATAATTAAAAAAACCAGTGCTGCCCAGAAAGGGGGAGTCATCCCTAAATATGGCGGCCCTGGGACAGCTGGCCTCCCTGCCAGGCCTCTTCCATGGGGGCCCTTTTCTGCAGTGACTGGGATTTCTTTCCATTTCACTCTACCCTGTGTCCTGACCCAAGAGACAAGGCATGTCTGCAGCTGTGCCCACACTTGGAGTGTGTCAGTACATTATAAACACTGGCTCAGTGGTGTTAGTACATTATAAACATTGGCTTATCATGGGTTATTTTATTATTTATTGTGTATTTTGATTTCACTTTACTGGCAACACAATAAACAATGACATGATGACCCTAGCAATCACATCCTCTTTCTTGTGTCAAAAAGCACCTTCCAGGAACGTGAGAAGGAGACAGTTTTCGCTACAGTTGATTAAGGGAGAGCCCGCTAGGCTGGGCAGGAGGATTTTTACCGGGAACCTGTGCGATGAGCTGTGACATCCTTCTCCCCACCTTCAATCTCAGCCCCAGCAGGCACCTCCTGGGCGCAGAAGCAGTGCAGCGGCGCCACCTGGCGGTCTGCACTCTTCCTTTCCCAGATCAAGCACAGCCCTGAAATCCACCTGTCCCTCCTCTGTGCCTGTGATTTCTTCAGGGGACACCAGCGTGGGTCAACTTTCTTGTAAAGCAGAACAAGCGTGAGATTGGACCATGTTACAGGAGGAATGGTGTCATCTCTACCTGTGGAGAGATCCCTGTCACCGTGTTCAGGGGAAGGACCGAGCCTCACTCCCACGCAGAGAGGAGGCTCTGGTTGTAACTGCTCCAGTGGAGAGATGAGGACCTCCTCCCTCTACACTGATGGCCAAAGCCTGCAGACTGGGCCAGGCTTCCCCTCAGCTATGTCCTGTCAGGTTCATCCAGGACTCAAGAAATAAACTGTGGACATTGTCTCCAGCGACGTGGAGCTGAATGCACACTCAGTAATGAGACAGCCTTGCCAGGGGTCCTGGGGCTGCCGGTTGTTCTGGGTGCTCAGTGTCCAGAGAGGAGGATGGGGAGGAGGCTTTGTGCAGAACAGGAACCGTGGAGCTGGATGCACACTCAGTAATGAGACAGCCCTGCCAGGGGTCCTGGGGCTGCCGGTTGTTCTGGGTGCTCAGTGTCCAGAGAGGAGGATGGGGAGGAGGCTTTGTGCAGAACAGGAACCGTGGAGCTGGATGCACACTCAGTAATGAGACAGCCCTGCCAGGGGTCCTGGGGCTGCCGGTTGTTCTGGGTGCTCAGTGTCCAGAGAGGAGGATGGGGAGGAGGCTTTGTGCAGAACAGGAACCGTGCCCCATAACTCATTTTATTCTGCGTTCGCCTTTTTGTCATAAAACACAGGTGACATAAAAGAAAAAAAATCTTAAAATGGTGACCTTTAATCAACAGTAAACACTCTTTAACCATCAGAAAGAGAGAGAAGTTTGTCAGCTGACCTAGAAGCCCCATCAATTGACCCAGTTCAATAGTAAATTTTTATTTTTTCAAATAAAAATCCATCACATCCTGACTTTTGTGGTCCTCACTTCTTTGTTCTATTTTATATTTTCATCATCCCAAATGATAGTTTAGTTTTACCTTTAAAAATAAGTTTTTTGTTCTTATTTGTTCTATAGGTTATCCCTTTGAAATTAATATTGTCTGGTAGAGTTTCCTGTTGTTTGTATTTTGTGGATTGCACCCCAAACTATGGTTTAATATGCATCTCTATTACCTGCATTTTCTAGAAATTTGTAGTTTGGTATAGAGGTTTGCATCTATTCAGATTTTTTTCCCCGTGAGTTTTGGTGGTACTATATCATGTTTTTCAACAAGGGGAAGAGTTTAATACTGGTTATTTCCCTTTGGTGATGAAAATTGTCATTGCTGTTCAGTGGCTAGATCTGTTCATTCATTACGGATGGCAAAGAGTTGTAGTCTCAGTCTTCCATTTCTTTTCATGTATTATTTGAATAATTTGTAAAATAAGAGACTTACCCCCTTCTACTATTTACCTATTATAGGAAAATCACTTTTAATTAATTAGATGTGAAAATTCTAAGAAAAATATTAGTAGACTGTATTAACCAATGTGTTATAAACAGACTGTCTTGACCAAGGTATATAGCCCAAGAATGCAAGGATATTTAAACTTTAAACCTTTTAATGCATTTTGCCACTTAATTAAAGAATAAAAAACAGAGATGATGTTATTTTACTAGATTAAGAAATTATTCTAGATGAAATTCAGCACTCCATCTGACCCATATTTCTCCAGTCATCTCCAGGTTAAAGAAATCATGCAATCAGATTGGGGCCACTCAAATAATACAAAATAATCTCCACATCTAAAGGTCCATGCTCTTAATCATATCAGCAAAGTCCCTTTTGCTGTGTAAAGTAACATATCTAAATGGTCTGCGTCTTAGGGCTTGGACATATGTGTGAGGCCATTATTTTGGATTCCACAGTGTATATGGTGGTTGAATGAGGTTTAATTTAATTCTTCTCTAATTAAATTCCTAGAAGAAGAGAAGTGAGTAAATGGAAAGAGGCATTCCAGAAAGAGGTTATCTTAAAATATTAAGGAAATGTATTATTGTAAATAAAGTCTTGATGCCACAAAGAAATAGCACTCAAATATAAAATTTTCTTTTTTTCTTCTCAGCAAGGCAATTACTTCTATACAAGGGTGTGCCCTCACAGATGGAGCAATGGTGAGCACACCCCTGGACAAGGAAGGGGAAGGGGTTCTTATCCCTGATGCACGTGGCCCCTGCTGCTGTGTTATTCCCCTATTGGCTAGGGTTAGACCGCACAGGCTAAACTAATTCAGATTGGCTAATTTAAAGAGAGTGAAACAGGTGATCAGAATGAGTCAGGGTGGTGCAGGTAACTGGAATGAGTCAGGCTGGGACAAGTAATCAGGATGAGTCAGGGTGGAGCAGGTAATCAGAATGAGTCAGGGTGGAGCAGGTGACTGGAATGAGTCAGGGTGGAGCAGGTAACCAGAATGAGTCAGGCTGGAGCAAGTAATCAGGATGAGTCAGGGTGGAACAGGTGATCAAAAAAGGTTGCTTTATGAGGAAGTTAAGTTTAAAAGTAGAGGGCAAAGAATTGAACATACTGACATGTTAATTATTTTAAGAGAAATTTAGAACTCATACCTAACAGTATCATAGCACTGTGAATAAAAAGAGATCCACATTTACTCATACTGCACTGGAACAGAAGATGTTAAAGAGAAACAGATATCTTAAAATTTGCCACAGGAGAAACACAGATCCTCTAAGAAGCAACTGGTTAAAATGTAACTGACTATCCCCTGTCAGCCACAGCAGCCAGAAGCAACATAATCATCAAAGATCTGAGAGAAAACCAATGTCAAACTAGAAATTTGCAGCTGACAAATCTCTCTTTGATGAATAAAGGTAAAACAAAACATTATCATATAAATGAAACTGTTGCACTGTCTCCATAATACCCAATTTCAAAATATCTACAAGAACAGAGAAATATGTAAGAACAAAAGAGAGAAAGAAAGCATAAATTTTAATTTGTAATCTTTGGTATATGTAACTCAGTACTGTCATAAAATATTAATAATGTAGCTTTCAAAGAAAAAAGTCATGTAAAATACATAACATGCTGTGCTATAATTTCTTTATTTATCTTCCCACCCCCACCTTTGACTTCTATGAAGTCCAAGGAAGTTTGATTCTTTTATCTGAGGCTCAACTCCATAGAGCACAGTACCCAGAATAAGGTAGGTGCTTAATGATGTTTACCATTTGAATGAGTTTCCTGGAAGTACTTAGCAGATCAGGAATTCTGATGCATAAGCACAATTCAAAGGTGGCTGAGGAGTGACATCAGAGAACATAGTGGCATAGGAACTCCAAGGGCCACCTCTGCACAGAGACAATGTGCTTGTAAAACATCACTATAAAAAAAAATCCCTTGGCTGGGCATGGTGGCTCATGCCTGTAATCCCAGCACTTTGGGAGGCCGAGGTGGGGGGATCACCTGAGGTCAGGAGTTCGAGACCAGACTGATCAACATGGAGAATCCCAGTCTCTACTAAATATACAAAATTAGCTGGGTGTGGTGGCTCGCGCCTGTAGTCCCAGCTACTCGGGAGGTGAGGAAGGAGAATCGCTTGAACCCGGGAGGCAGAGGTTGCAGTTAGCCGGGATCATGCCATTGCACTCCACCCTGGGCAACAAGAGCAAAACTCCATCAAAAAAAAAAAAAAAAAAATTCCCTCGGAGAGCTGTTAAAGCAAGAATTCCTGGACCTACCACCAGATATTCTGATTGGGTTGATAAAGAATCAACTGCATTGGAACCCTGAAAAATCATCAAAGGTTTATTGCAACCTAGCAAGTCCAGAAAAATCAACTGGAACTCAGGAGCAGAGCTTTGTGGCACCATATCTTACCCTTGGCCCATTCCTCCCTGTTCAAGTCAGTAGTGATCTTGAAGACAGCAGCCTGGTTCCTTAGTGTGGGCTCCAATGCCAGTGGGAGCCGAGTGGACCATGTTCTCAAAGTGTTGTGGTTGTCTACCTTTTCCTGTTGGGTGACTCCGTGAAGGATGATAAGAAATGGCTTACATTGGGCTGGGCATGGTGACTCATGCCTGTAATCACAGCACTTTGGGAAGCTCAGCTGGGTGCATTTCTTGAGTTCAGGAGTTTGAGACCAGCCTAGACAACATGGTGAAACTCCATTTCTACAAAAAATACAAAAATTAACTGGGCATTATGGCATGTGCCTGTAGTCTCAGCTACTCAAGAGGCTGAGGTGGGAGGATTGCTTAAGCCCAGGAGGTTGAGGCTACAGTGAGCCAGGATCGTGCAACTGCACTCCAGCTTGGGCTTCAGAGCAAGACCTTGTCTAAAAAAAGAAAAAAAAGAAAGAAAAAGAAAATAAATGGTTTGCATTTATTTTCCCTACTCAGAACTCTCTTAGGTCACAGAGGCAGAGGGCATCTGCTAAAACCATTTAAGTGCCACTGAACCAGCAGCTGCCCCCTTGGGGCAAAAATATATTACATGAGAAAGGTAATAGACATACAGAAAAGCCTGGAGGAGAAACTGGGTGAGTGAGATGGGAATATGGGTTTTGAAAAGCTTCCATATCCCTGGGAATCTGTATAGCCTCCTTCATGACCAGTATGTCGCACAGACTCACAAAGCACCTGAGAATGCCCTGTGTTCACACCTCTTGCTAACTTTCAATATCTGCACAAGTAGGAAATGAAGGCCAAAGCAGTATTGTAAACTGCCCAGCAGAGTGTTGAGGGCATGCCCCAAAACACACAGAGAGCCCAGATAAAAAGATTGAATTTTCTTTTCTTATTTCTTTTTGGCTGAAGATGTTTCAGGAAATATCTATCAAATCATGAGTTGACCACTAAGCTTACAGAATAGAGACTTCAGTGATGACACACAATAAAGAATACAGTCTATACAAAAATAGTTTAGAAAACATGATTTTCAAAGTCACCACATGTTAGTATTCAAAATAAAAATGAGGTATGCAATTAAACTAGACAGTAAGACCCATTCTCAAGAAAAAAGAGGAATTGACAGAAACTGTTCCTGAGAAAGGCCATTGAACATACTTACTGGACAAACAACTTTGAATTGACTGCTTAAATATGTTCACAGAGCTAAAGGAAACTATGGGCAAAAAACTAAAGGAAATCAGAAGAACTATCTTAACTCAAATAGAGAACATCAATAAAAAGATAGAAAGTTTAAAAAGAAACCAAATAGAAATTTTGGAGCTGAAAAGTGCAATAACTGAAATGAAAAATTTACTAGAGTAATTTTACTATTTTTTACTATATTTTACTAGAGTAAATTTACTATTTACTTTTTTACAAAAGCAACTTTCACTATGCAGAATGAAGAATCGGCAAGCTTAAAGGTAAGACAATTGAAATTATCCAGTTTGAGGTGCAGAAATAAAAAAAAATTATGAAGAAAAATGAACAGAACTTAAGAAAACTGTGAGACAACACCAAGCATATGCATTTTGGGAATCCTCAAAGAAAGGAGAGAGAAAAAGAAGAATGGCTATTTGGAGGAATAATAACTTCAAATCTCCTAAATTTGATGAAAAATATAATTTTACTCATCCAACAAACTTGATACATTTTAAGCAGCAAGAATTTTAGAAGTCCACACTGAGAGACGTTATAATCAACCAGTCTACACCAATGACAAACAGACCATCTTGAAAGCAATAACAGAGAAGGAACTTTTCAGGTACAATGGATCCTCAATAAGATTAACATACAAATTTTCATCAGAAACCATGGGGTTCAGGAGGCGTTGGGATGACAAATTTAAAGCTGAGAAAGTAAAAGGACTATCAACCAAGAATTGTATGTCTGCAAAACTCTCCTTCAGAAATGATGGAGAAATCACGACATTCACAGGTTAAAAAAAGCTGACTGAGATGGTCTCAACCCTACAAGACATATATATATACACACACACATATATATATTTGTAATTCCTCTCTTGTTTTTCCTATTTGATTTAAAAGAAAATGTCCATCGACCAATGAATGGAGAAACAACATATAGTTTTTTCCTACAATAGAATATTATTTGGTCATAAAATGAATAAAGCACTGGCATATGCTAAAACATTGCTGAATCTTGAAAACAAGACAAGTGAAGGAAGCCAGTCACAGGAGGCTACGTAACTTATGAGCCCATTTTTGTGAAATATTCATAAGAGGCAAGTCGATAGAGAAAGAAGTGGATTTGTGGCGACAGGGTCTGCTGGCAGGTGGAAATGGAGGGTGACTGCTTAATGGGTGCAGAGTTCCCCCTGAGGTGATAAAAACACTCTGGAACTAGAGAGTGATGATGGTTACATAACATTGTGAACATACAAATTGTCACTGCATTGTGCACTTTAAATGGTTACGGTGGTATCCTTTGTGTTTATGTGTATTTTACCACAATGAAAAAGAGGCTGAGGAAGGTATTCCAAAATCTTTTGTATAGTAAACTCCTGAGTTTGCTTGAGAATCTGCCTATCTGTCTTTTCTTCTCAGGACATCATCTCCTACCCAGAGCAAACCTTTGTTCTTCTGCAAGTAGAAAGCCCTCTTTCAGAACATTGTCCAAGATCAGCCAGGCCCAACCCTCAAAATGACTTTCTGTCTTTGACCCAAATGCTCAAATGCAACTCTGGGGCTAATTTCAGTGGGAGTAAGAGATTATCCAATCAGGATAATTCATTTGGAGAGAAAATGTTTTGCTTAAGTCAGCAAAGTCCTTTGCTTTCCTAAAAAGGATCCTGCTTACCAGTGAGTACAGAGTTTTTGTACATTTGAGGTGGAGTTCTCAGCAGAGTAATTAAAGATATCTGTAGAAACACCACACACATTATGTGTAGCTGACTGATTCACCCCTCTGCCACCCCCAATTGAAGGAAGGAGCTGTATTCTTATCTTGGCCCATCCATCAACTGAATGCCGCTGGACATGGAACATTACAAGTGTGAAGCTTCCAGGGTTCTCAGTTGCTCTTCCTGCTGTTGTGGAGACTCCATTGGTGTGGCTCACATCCAGGCAGGCCTGCAGGAAGCTGTTTCCTAATTCTCAAGGCCAACATTTTCAGTGAACCCATACCAAAACCCTAGGTTCTCAGGGACTCAGATTTTCATCTGTGGAAGAAAAGAATCCATCTCACTCTCTCAGGTGTGATGGTAATTATATATATTATAATATAATATATATATACATAATTATAATTTATATATCTATAAAAGAGATAATCAGTATTCCATAAATTGATGATATTCTCAGTGTTGACTTCATTGCCCAGGTGAACACTGTAACAGAAGGATGAGTCATGGATTGTAGAGGAACAATATTTTTTTTACTCTCTGGAGGAGCCATCAGTAGGCATTTCTGCCATATGGACTTCAAATGAGAAATTTGTTTTAGGTTGAGATTGGAAGGAGATCTGAACTTCTTTTTATTATTATTATTTTAAATATGAGGTCTCACTATGTTCTCCAGGCTGGAGAGCAGTGACTATTCACAGGTGTGACCATAGCCTCAAATTCGTGAGCTCGAGCCATTCTCCTATCTCAGCCTCCTGAGTAGCTGGGACTACAGGTGCCCACCACAGTGTTCAGCCACTTTTCATTGTTATTTTACTTCAAATGTTTTATTTTGAATGTTAAAAATACATGTTTCTACATTAGAAATATGAAAATGTATTTGATTACAGAAGAATTTAAAATGCACACATCAACACCTGGTTGAATTTTAAAGAAAAAAAAATGCAGAGAAGAAAGAAATATCACCCAGGCTTCCCCTCCAAAGAACCACTGCTATCATATTATTGAAACTTCCTGGACTGCAGTGTGAATGGTCATCCCTGGAGCTATCTTCTGCAGTGATGCTGACTTCCATTCTTTTGTTTTCTATGTATATATTTTTATATATGCTTTCATTGTAGAAAGTTGCATTCATAAGTTTTGGGGTTTTTTTTAAGATGGAGTCTCACTCTGTCCCCCAGGGGCTGGAGTGCAGTGGCATGATCTCGGCTCACTGCAACCTCTGCATCTCGGATGCAAGTGAGTCTTCTGCCTCAGCCCCTCGAGTAGCTGGGATTACAGATGTGCACTACCACGCCTGGCTAATTTTGTGTTTTTAATATAGATGGGGTTACACTTGTTGGCCAGGCTGGTTTTGAACACCTGACCTCAAGTGATCCACCCACCTTGGCCTCCCAGAGTGGTTGTGGGTTATTTTGAAGTTGCTTTTTGAATGTATTATTATGAAAGTAGTTTTCCATGTCATAAAGTCTGCATAAAATTTACACACTTCTAGAAGCTGCATCCCATCTCAAACAAGGAGAAGTCACCAGGGTTCTTTTAGATCCATGTGCTTTCATCTTGTCTTTTGGTAAAGAATATTTTGACAAGCATGTTTGTACATGAAGATTCTTCTATGGTTGTGATTTTAAAAATTCATAGAACACTCAGGATGGACATGGTGGCTCATGCCTGTACTTCCAGCACTTTGGGAGGCTCAGGCTGGCAGATTGCTTGAGCCCCTGAGTTTGTGACCAGCCTAGGCAACATAGAGAAACCCTGTCTCTACAAAAAATTCAAAAGAATTAGCCGGGCTTGGTGGCACATGCCTGTAGTCCCAGCTACTTGGGTGTCTGAGGTGGGAGGGTTGCTTAAGCCTGGAAGATTCAGGCTGCAGTGAGCCATGAACAACACTGCACTCCAGCCAGCAAGCCCAATCTCAAAAAAATAAATTATAGACTACTCAAATTGTAAGTATTAAACCAGTGTCTGTGAGAGTTTTTCTGGAAGGGATGTGAGTGGGTGGACTGGTGGGGAAGATGCTCTCTCACTGTGGGCAGCCACAGTCCAATCACCTAGTGGCCCAGATAGAACAGAAAGGTAGATAGAAGTAAAATTTCTCTCTGTCTCTGTCTCTCTGTCTCTCTCTGTCTCTGTCTCTCTCTCTGGAACTGGGGCTGGGACACCCTTCTTCTCCTGCCTTGGACATCAAAACTCCAGGTTCGATGATCTTTGGACTCTGACTTTTGCACCAGTGAGCCCCTTTATCCTCCTGTTCTGTATTCTGGGTCCTCAGGGCTTTGACTTTGGACTGAGCCACGCTACTGGCTTTTCTAGTTCTCCAGCTTCCAGACAGTCTATCATGGGACTTCTCAGCCTCCATAATTGTGTGAGCCAATTAGCCCAATAAATCACCTATCTATCTATCTGTCTGTCTATCTATCTATCTATCTATCTATCTATCTATCTATCTATCTATCATCATCTAACATCTATCTATCATCTATCATCTATCTATCTATTATCTATCTATCATCTATGTACCTATGCTATTGGTTCTTTCTTTCTTGGTAACCTTAATAAATCAACAGACAATAAACAAATAAAACCTGTCATAGTATCACTGATAATTGCCATTAAGAAAAATATGCTTGGGTTAGAAGATTGGTGGCGGTGGTGGGAATGGCAGGGGATAGATTTCAGAAGAGGTCACTGGACAAGACATTTCTGAACACTTGACCATGGGACATTTAAGCAGGGACCTTAATGGTGTGAGGAGTGAGCCATGTGGATCACTGGGCAGCACATGCATGTGGGAGTCACAGCAGGGGCAGGTGGTGGAGACAGGGTGGAGTAGACAAGAAACTGGTGTGAGTGGAGAAGAATGAGCTAGGCTGAGAGTAATGGGATGAGGCCAAAGTGGCCAGAGGGGACCCTGTGATAAGGAGTGCATAGGAAATGGTGGGAAACTGGGGTTTCCTTGTGCCTAAGAAGGGAAGGAGCTGGAGCGTTCATAGGATATGCCCTAATTCCCATTGGAAAGGCACGCTCTCTCTGTTGTGTGGGTGATGGACAGTGGGCATGAGAGTCAGCAGGCAGCCCAGCTGGAAGGCCCTTCCGGTTTTCTATCCTAGTGAGGATGGTTCTGGGGTGGAGGTGGCAGAGGAGTGAGAAGTGATTGGATTTGGTGTTGATATATATTTTTAAAATTGTGGTAAAACACACATACTATACGATTTACCTTCTAACAATTTTTTTCAGTGTACAATTCATTGGCATTAAGCACATTTACAATTGATGGTGGTTACACAAACACCAACATGCATTTTCAGAACATTTTCATCATCCCAACAGAGACTGTACCCATTAAATGACAGCTGCCCATTGTTCCTGCCTTCAGCCCCTGGTAACCTGTATTCTACTTTCTGTTTTTGTGAATTTGCTTATTCTAGGTGCCTCATATAAGTGAAATATCATATTTGCCTTTTTTTTGGCTTATTTTATTTAGCGTGTTTTCAAGGTTCCATCCAATCCAAATATTCTTCACTTTTAAGGCTGATTAATATTCCATGTGTATATGCACCACATTTTGTTTTTCCAATCATCCTCTGATGGACACTTGGGTTGCGTCCACCTTTTGGCTATTGGGAATAGCACTGCTATGAGCATGACTGTACAATTATCTGTGTGCATACCTGCTTTCAATTTTTGGGGGGTATACACCCAAAAGTGGAATTGTTGCTTCATATGGAAATTCTATGTTTACCTTCTTGAGAAAGCGTCATCCTGTTTCCATGATGGCTGCACTGTTGTTCACTCTCAGCAGCAGTGCACAAGCATTCCATTTTCTCCACATCCTCACCAACACCTGGACTAGTGAAGCTGAGCATATTTTCATGTCCTTATTGGAATTCCTTATTTTTATGTCCTTACTGTGTATCTTCTCTGGAGAATTGTCTATTCATGTCTTTTACCCATTTTTGAATGAGATTGTTTTGCTATTGTTAAGTTGTAGTTCTGTATGTAGTCTGGATATTAATTCTTTATCAGATATGTGATTGGCAAATATTTTATCTTATTCTATGCAGTTTCTTTTATTTTCACTTTTTTTTTTTTTTTTTTTTTTTTTTTTTTTTTTTTTGAGACGGAGTCTCTCTCTGATGCCCCAGCTGGAGTGCAATGGTGCAATCTCAGCTCATTGCAACCTCTGCCTCCCAGGTTCAAGCGATTCTCCTGCCTCAGCCTCCCGAGTAGCTGGGATTACAGGTGCCCACCACTGCGCCCGGCTAATTTTTGTATTTTTAGTAGAGACAGGGTTTTGCCATGTTGGCCAGGCTGATTTCGAACTCCTGACCTCAGGTGATCCACCCACTTTGGCCTCCCAAAGTGCTGGGATTACAGGCGTGAGCCACTGCGCCTAGCCTCTTTTCACCTCTTAATAGCGTCCTTTGATGCAAAAAAGTTTTTACATTTTGATGAAGTCTTATTTGTCATTTTCCTTTTATTGCTTGTACTTTTGGTCACCAGCCAAGAAACCACTACCAATTCTAATGACCATAAGACTTTCCCTCAGTATTTTCTTTTAAGAGTTTTACAGGTTTAACTCTTAAGATTAGTTCTTTAAGGCATTCTGACTTAATTTTTGAAAAGGGTGTAATGGAAGGGCATAAATTTTGTCCAGCATCATTCTTTTGCATGTGGATATCCAGGTTTCCAGCACCATTTGTTGATGCACCATCTGTTGCAGTGGGGCTGACACATTTGTAAGATGCAATGAGCACGAATACATGGGAGCACCATGAATTTATTTACATGTCTTTACTTCACAGTTGTTTTGAGGAGGCTTTCACTGAGAAACCTAACAGAAATGAATATATATGACTTCCTATAAAATGAAATTTAAGTAAAATTATACTTTTTAAAATGTTAAGACTGGAGCAAGACTGGAACATCACCAGACAAACAGAAACATAGGCTGAAATGAAGGGTTTATGTTTATCTTGCTACAAATTCTGTTGGCCCACAATCTCTTATGCTTATTGCATAAGAGAGCCACAGAGTGGGGTGATAGCTCAAATAACCAGTCCCTGGTTTTCTGCTTCAGAAACAAGTTTAAATTCTCTGCTTAGACAAAGTAAAGAAAATAATTGAAAGATGTTGAATGTGAAGTTGGCATCTACAAAGTCAAAGAAGTGAGTAGTAAATGTAAACATCAGGAATCCAAGGAGATTCTATCTTTTTACACAGAAATGGCCTCACTATGCACTGCTGAAGGGAGAAGGTCCCTCCAGGAGAACTTCATGATGAGGAAAAACCCAATATGATGTAGGGGTTTTCTGCTGCAGCCCTAAATTGAATTGTCCTTCGCTCTAAATACAGGTCTCACAAAGTTTTATGTCTTCAATGATTTCACCTGGGCCGAGATTTTGTTTTGTTTTTGGTGTTGTTTGTTTTGAGCTGCTGCCTGGGGCTTAGAAAAGTGACTTGGATATTTTGCCAAAGTTGTATTTCTTTGATGGAATTCGAAATCCATGAACACTCTGCTTTCCTGCTGTATTCCCAGAGCGGGTTGAGTACCTTGCACTTCTTTTCAGCACTTCCCTAGAAGTGGTAGAAGATTTGGAGTTAGGGCCTCCCTCAATCTCTGCCCTTTCTTTAATTCAGAGGATCACAAACTGTTGGGGGAAGAGTGGTATCTTGGGCCCCCAGTTGATCGGATGAATATTAATATCCAATGTCCTGTAATGAAGTCATGTGTGCATGTAACATCACTTCTGCACGCAGTGTCATGGGAAAGTGGGTTCGCGGACCCCAGGTTAAAAGCCTAAGCACTAAATGCACAGAGCTAGAGCTCTAGGAGGGGCGGGATGGCTGGGGTGGAACGTCATCTTGTCCTTTAGTCCTGGGGCATTTTCACTCCTCACATGGTGGGTGCTGGGCATCTGGCAGGTACTGATGTTGATGGAGTCGAGGGAGGGTACTGGCCGGAACTGGGAAAAACAGGGTTGGGGAGATAATTAAGGTGAACATTATTTTTTCTGAGTGTAAGTCATGGCTTGAAATCTGGAGAGCCTGAAGGAGATCCCGCTACCTAAACCCGTTTTCCTTTTCCCTCAAGCCTCATTTGGCCACAGGCCCAGTGTCAACACCAGGGGGCGCCACAGACCATGAAGGCACCGCGCAGCTGGGATTGTTTGTGGTGGGCTCCTGGGTCCCTGACTTAACCAGGGAAGCCAAGACCCTGCAGCCAGGTGGCCTGGATTCAACCTTCAGCTCTGGTCCTACTGACACTTTTCTTCCTGGTGCCTCAGTTTCTTAATCTGTGAAATGGTGAGGACATTACAGCACTTACCTCTCGGGCGGGTTTCTCAACAGCAGCCCTATTAAGAATTTGAGACAGAGAATCCCTTGTGGTCTGTCCTGTGCATTGTGGGAGGTTTGCCAGCAGCACCCCACTCACCCCCTCCCACCAATCCCCACGTGACAACCGAAAATGTCCCAGGATTTTTAGGTCTCCCTTGGGTCTAGAGCTGCATTTAGTCAAGCATTTTCCCACCTGACATTTGAGCTCATCTCTGCTTTGGTCCACATAAGGCCACTTTAAAAAGATGTTGTTTCTTTAAAGATTCTAACCATCTTTTAAACAAATCTATTTTCTTCCTTTATTTCTGCATTCAGTTAATCCTTCCAAACCCTTGGTTTAGTATATCTCAAAATGTATCAACTCCAGTTCTAGTAATTAACATATGTGACTTGCATGATATCTGCTATGACCCCTAGTAGAGTTCTGATTCCTTTAGCACAGGGAATGTGTTCTCGATTCTGCTCTGGATGATGTAAATCAATTTATTTTACTTTACTTGTCTGGGATGTTGCTCCTCACCTGTAAAATGTAAATGTGGATATGGCTTGGATTACTAAGTGGTTTTATTTCTTCATTCACCTGACATTTGTTGTGTACCTGCTGCAAGTCAAATACATGGTATGATATTGTTTCCTTGTTCACACCACAGCAAATGAGAAAATGAGACATTATAGCCAGGTGTGGCGGCACAGGCTTCTCGTCCTAGCTACTCAGAAGGCTGAGGCAGGAGAATTGCTTCAGCCCAGGAGTTTGAGGTTACAGTAAGGTCTGATATCACCATTGCATTTCAACCTGGGCAACAGACCCTGTCTCTGAAAAAAAGGAAAAAGACACTGTGAGCTGTCTACATGTACTCTATGTCTCAGGAGACTCATGTGCTGTAATTTTTCTAAATGGCATCTCCATGTGGTCTTTCATGAATGTTTGTCTGGTATTTCTTTTCTATCTTTTTACTTTCAACTTTTCTGTACCTTCTACTGAAATTATGGCTTTTGTAAATAGCCTACGGTTATTTATTTATTTACTTATTTATTTTTATCCCTCTGCACTATTTGTCTTGTAATTGGAGTGTCTGAGTCCATTACGTTTAATGTCATTGTTGACCTCATTGGGTTTAAGTCTGTCCATTTTCATTTACTGCCTTCTAATATTATCTTTCTTGCTCAACTATTTTTCTTCTGTTGCCTTCTTTAGATGAATAAAAAACTTTGCATTATTGTGGTCTTCTCAGTAAGTGTTCTAGTTACAAATTCTCTTGTTATTTCTTTAATTATCTGAGAAAGCACAATAATCTGTGACTTATTATAACCAACAGCAGACCATAACTTCCCTGACTTTCACCTACCTGTGCAGACAGCACAGGGGAGAATCAATGCTCTGGCTCTGAGACACAGGGGTGGTGGAAGTAGGATAGTGATTGGATGATGAATCTGTAGCTGCAGAGGCATCTGGGCCCCTCACCTTCATTCCTCGTAGATGTCACCTCCACTGGATGCCTGCAATGCCCTCTCCTCTGTATGCTCCTGCCAGAGTCTCCCCATCTCCACTGACAGCAGCTCCACCCTTCTGCTCACTCAGTCCAATACTGTGGGTGTCCTTGATTCTTCTTTCTCACACCACAGATAAATCCATTAGCAAGTGCTGTGAATTCATCCAGAATCCCATCACTTCCCACTATTTCCCCTGCTCACACCCCAGTCAAGGTAAGCGACGTCTCCATCCTGGAATACTGCACTCCTTTCCCACCGTTTTTCCCACTGCCTCACTAGTCCCCCACCTCTCAATTCTGTTCTCAGCACAGCAGCCAGAGAGAAGCTTTCAAAGGATAAGTCCTACCATGTCCCACTTTCCAAAACTGTCCTCTAACTCCCCATGTCATTCAGAGCAAAGGTCAACATCCTTCCCACACCCTCCAGGGCAACCTGCTCTGGGCACACCTCTGACTTCATTTCAGTTTCTCTCTGTTCAACACTTCTGGCCTCTTCCTCCTTCCAGGAACACAGACAATTTCCTGCCCTAGTGCATCTGCACTGAAGGTTTCCCTGCCTGAAAAGAACTTTCTGAGACATCCGTGTAGACAACTCCTCACATCCCTCAAATCTTTACTCCAAGGTCACATTTGCAACAAGGCCCATGCTGACCACCCAGCACAACAGCCACCTCCCTGTACCCACAGCCCACCCTCTGGATCACCTGCCACACAGCACTTGCCACCTTCTAACTCAAGCATTTTCTGTTCCTACTCTGCTTATACTATATCATCTGCCTGCAGAGGTGTCCAATCTTTTGGCTTCCCTGGGTCACATAGGAAGAAGAATTGTCTTGAGCCACACAAAAAATACACTAATGACAGCTGATGAGCAGAAAAAAATAGAAAAAAGAAAAAAAATGCATGGATAATTTTCATGATATCTGCCACTACAGATAAGCAAAAAAATCGTCACATTCTAAAGCTGTCCTGGGCCACATGCATCCCGAGAGCTGCAGGTTGGACAAGCTTGCATCTAGAATGTATACACGACAAGGCCAGAAATTTTTCTGTTTTTACTTTAACGATGTTTTCTAAATGCAAAAACAGTCAAATACCTAGCAGACAACAAATGCCACTTGAATGGATGATTACTGTAGTGCGCCCCCCTATTCTAAAGGCAATATCTTTATTAATGTAGACTCAGGCCAAATGTCATTTTGTAGCCGCTGTGGAACAATATTATCTCATGTGGATATAAATGCACCAGTGCTTTTCTCACCAGGGCTGCTTTTGTGTCCTCCCTCCCTCCCTCCTCCCACACCAATCCTCCTGCACACTGCAGCACACAACCATATTTGTCTCTTGAGGAAAGATAACCCAAGGCTTATGGCTCCAATTATCCAACCACATATGAATCTAAATTAGACTCTGCTTTACAAATCCATGAGTTTGGTTTGGAGCCAGCAATAGGATTACTACAACTCAGGGCAGGAAGAAGAGTAGGAGAGAGAGCAGAAGAGGAGTTCCAACAGAAAGTAAACTACAATGAAAAACTCTGGGACCTCTCCTCTCGGGAAGTTTCAGAATCTGCTTCCTTTAAGAAGGTTGGGGAAGCCAGGCATGGTGGCTTACACCTGTAATCCCAGCACTTTGGGAGGCAGAGGCGGGCAGATCACAAGGTCAGGAGATCAAGACCATCCTGGCTAACATGGTGAAATCCCGTCTTTACTAAAAATACAAAAAATTAGCTGGGTATCGTGGCATGTGCCTGTACTCCCAGTTACTAGGGAGGCTAAGACAGGAGGATTGCTTGAACCCGGGAGGTGGAGGTTGCAATGAGTCGAGATTGCACCACTGCACTCCAGCCTGAGTGAGACTCCATCTCAAAAAAAAAAAAAAAAAAAAAAAAAAAAAAAAAAAGATGGAAAATACAATTGAAAGAGACCTGGAAGGAGGGGAAGAGGTGTAGGGGTCTGAAAATTTTTCTTCTGATAACACAGGAACTTCTAAGTGTAGGGACCACCCTAGGTGATATCCAAGTCTATGTGATCACAGGTCCTGGTGGGACAAGGTTCTACTGAAGGGCCAAGGACAATGGAGCAGCAAAGATGACCCAGCTGAGCAGTGACCACATAAAGTTCATGGTGGCCTGAGCACCCACTGGGCGCAGCCCCATCTACTCTCCTCTCCTGCAACAAATCAGCACAAGAAACACGTGTACTGTGGAAAGTTCTCATGTCTTCCATTTATTTTGTCTCTCAAATTTCAGGAATCTTCTCCTTTAATTAACCCATCAATCTCTCTTGGAAATAATTTGAAAAACTAAATTTATACTCAGATTCTAATTTTAATACAGAAGTAAGTTATAGCTCAGTGCACCACAAATTTGAGACAGAGACGGAGACATCCCAGCCCCTTTTCTGGAACAGGAAAGGTGATTGGGGAAGGAATGCAGTTCAGCATGAGGAAGAGGGTCATGGTGGGCACAGGGGTGGGCTGGTCTCTGCAGAAAGAGAAGTCAGGGTTCTTGAAGTCACAAAGGGAAGGCATGAACAAATCTTGCCACTCAGTCCCACACAGGGCAGCTGTTTCACACTACAGAAAAATATTCATGAACAAATTCATATCAGTCACAGTGAGGGGTGACACTTTAAACAGCCCATCACATGCTCAATACATTCAAGTCAAAGAAACCTCATAGCACAGCTATGTCCACTGTTTCCCTCAACAACCCACACACATCAGGCCCCCCGGGGTGTCACATTTACAAGCCGTGAGAGACACATTAGAGCCCTGGGCACTGTCACTGCCTAGAGTAGAACAAAAACAGCACCTGGTCAGAGACCACAGGAGATGTGGCCAGAGGAGGAATTGTGGGGTGGGTGAGCTCCCCCATGGGCTCCCAAACACAAGATCCCAAGGATCTCAGGGATCAGCCTCCTTCATACTTACTTGCAGCCTGAGAGTAGCTCCCTCCTTTTCAATCTGTGGGAAGAAAACGTCCTGTGAGAGGCCAGAAAGGTGGCAGGGCCATGAGGTCCTAGAGGAACCTCCTAGTCTTGGACCCTCGAGAAGTTTCCAGAAATGTGTGACTGCAGACTCAGGGCGGGATCAGGAAAAACAAGGAAAGCAGATGTGGGTCCTCGACCAACTGCCCTCCTAAGGTCTGTCCTTAGCCAGGGACCTTCCCCTGACCTGTGATTACTAGGATCAGGTCCCCATCACTACAATCATCAAGGTGATAAATCTGTCCTTCATTGTCACAGGTGCTTTACAAAAGAGAAGGTGCTGGCACACAGGGCCCAGGCTGGGTAGGCCCATGAGTGTGGATGGTGCTTCCCAGTAACCAGGCAGGGCGCACTTCTACCTGGGGCTTGAAACCCCCAGTGGGACAAGAAAACTCAGACCCCACTTGTCACCCCTTCCTTACCTGAGCTCTTCTTCCTCCACAGCACAGCAGCGACCGCAGCTCCAGTGACTACAGCTGCAAGGACAACCAGACCAGCAACGATACCCATGATGGGGATGGTGGGCAGGGAAGACTGCTCTGGGAAAGGAGGTGAAGGTGAGGGTCTCTGACCCCCAGGCCTCACCACCGACCCTGTTAAAGGTCTTCAGAGAGGCTCCTGCTTTCCCTAACAGACATGATGCCTCCATCTCCCTCCTTACTCCATCTCAGCATGAGGGGCTCCGGCAGCCCCTCATGCTGCACATGGCACATGTATCTCTGCTCCTCTCCAGAAGGCACCACCACAGCTGCCCACTTCTGGAAGGTTCCATCCCCTGCAGGCCTGGTCTCCACGAGCTCCACGTCCTGGGTCTGGTCCTCCCCATCCCGCTGCCAGGTCAGTATGATCTCCGCAGGGTAGAAGCCCAGGGCCCAGCACCTCAGGGTGGCCTCATAGTCAAAGACAGGGTGGTGGGTCACGTGTGTCTTGGGGGGGTCTGAAAGGAAGAGTCAGAAAACTCAAGCACTTTGCATCTCTCATGGGACACTCCAGCAGCACCTGGATGTGACCATCCTAAGAATGAACCAGATACCTGGGGTGGGGAAGGGAGCACAGAACCCAGACACCAGCCTGGACACGGGCACCTGGGATAATCTCCTATTCCTTGGAAAGTTCTAGTCTCTGAGCGGGGGAGCAGGGACCTCTGGTTCTGACCTGAGTGGAGGCCAAGGGACTCAGAGGAGCTGGAGTCAGACTCCCACACACATTGAGTGTGAGGCAGAGAACAAGGCCTGAGGGGAAAAGTCCTGGTGCCAAGGCTGCTGTGGGGTCAAAGGGAACCCCTGATCAGTCCTCCAGGGATTGTCTTCCCCTCCACTCCCTCAGAGACTTCATCCCTTAATTGTCCCAGAGAGCAGGACGGGCCCTCAGAATCACTCTCTGGTACAGGATCTGGAAACCCAGGAGGATTCCTCTCCCTCAGGACCAGAGGGAGGGCGATATTCTGGTGTTGGTCCCATTTTCCTCCTCTCCTTGTGCTAGGCCAGGCTGGGAGGTCTACAGGAGATCAGGGAGGCGCCCCACTGCCCCTGGTACCCGCGCGCTGCAGCATCTCCTTCCCGTTCTCCAGGTATCTGTGGAGCCACTCCACGCACGTGCCCTCCAGGTAGGCTCTCCTTTGTTCAGCCACATTGGCCGCCTCACACTTGCGCTTGGAGATCTGAGCCGCAGTGTCCGCTGCGGTCCAGGAGCGCAGGTCCTCGTTCAGGGCGAGGTAATCCTTGCCATCGTAGGCATACTGTTCATACCCGCGGAGGAGGCGTCCGTCGGACCCCAGGTCGCAGCCAATCATCCACTGGAGGGTATGAGAACCTGGCCCCACCCCTTCGGTCAGCCCCGCCCACCGAGCCTCGCCCTCGCCCGGACCCACCCGCAGGGATTTTGGTAAAGGCGCCTGGGGTTCTCCCAGGTAGAGGGTCTGGGCGGGTCCCGCGGCCTCGGGGTGGATCCCAGACCCGGAGACTCGGGAGTACCCGGGGCGTCCGTGGGGCATGGAGGTGGGGGGTCGTGATCTGCGCCCTGGGCCGGGGTTACTCACTGGCCTCGCTCTGGTTGTAGTAGCCGCGCAGGGTCTGCAGGTTCATTCTGTCAGTCTGTGCGTGGGCCTTGGTGTTCCGTGTCTCCTCTTCCCAATACTCTGGCCCCTCCTGCTCCACCCACGGCGCCCGCGGCTCCATCCTCGGACACGCCGAGTCGCTGTCGAACCGCACGAACTGCGTGTCGTCCACGTAGCCCATGGCGATGAAGCGGGGCTCCCCGCGGCCGGGCCGGGACACGGCGGCGCTGAAATACCTCATGGAGTGGGAGCCTGGGGGCGAGGAGAGGTTGAGACCCGCCCGACCCTCCTCCCGGCGCGGCTGCCGGGTCCTGCGCCCCCGCCGGGCCGGCCCCTCCCTCCTCCGCGCAGGGGCCGTTTCCCTCCTGACCCCGCACTCACCCGCCCAGGTCTCGGTCAGGGTCAGGGCCCCCGAGAGTAGCAGGAAGAGGGTTCGGGGTGCCATGACCACCATCCTTGGCGTCTGGGGAGAATGAGTCCGGGTGGGTGAGCGAGGACTTTAGAACCAGGACCGCGGCGACGCTGATTGGCTTCTCTAAAAACCTGTCACCTAATGGGAGTGAGAACTGGGGCCGCCCGGTGAGTATCCAGGAAGAAGGACCCGACACAGGTTAGGAGAAGGAGGAGAGAATCCCCAACGCGGGGCCTCCCCAATCCATACACCGCCTGTGGGGCCTGAGACCCTGAGAGCCACGCTTGAGGCCCTGGGACTTCGCCCTGACCCCGCTACTCTTGTGCCAAGCGTTCTGTCTCAGTGTCTCCCTGAGTCTTGGCCCAGGAGCTGTCTGAGAAACCAGGGAGAAACCCTCGGCAAGGTCCCTGTCCCTCTCCCTTCACTTTTCATCCCGGAATCCCTGTCCCTGAACTGGACTCCCTGCCTCCCACTCCTTGCCTGTCCTCCTGTACTCTTCTAGAAGAAAAATCACCCCACGGAGCTTGGTGCCAGAGAGTGAGCTCGCCCTGGGATTGTAGGTGTAAAGACAGGGTTTTTTTTCCCCCTTAAATCTGGAAAAGTTGTGCCTGAGTGCATGAGATAGAATAGAGACCAGTTTGCTTTTTGTTTATTAACTATAGTGGGTAGCATAATCTTGGTAACCCCTGAATGATCAGGAATCTAATAGGTAAAAAATGTGACTTTGGCCCGTTGGTATATAAATGCATCTAAAAGCCTTACAACAGGACTCACAAAGCTCTTAAGTTTCACTTTCCCAGACAATGTATCTGTGACTCCCGCTTGTTTTATTTTAAATTTACCTTCATTCCGTAGCCCTAAGTTTCCGTGTGAGTCCAGGACATCTCCTCAAGACAAAGTACCACACTATGTTACTATATGTTGCAACCAGGAGCCAGCACAAACTTTATTCACCTCACAGTTGTAAGTGTTCAGTGCAGTCACAATGCCCCTCACTAGTGCTCATGCACTGCCTGTTTTTAGGAAGTATCCACATGTGAGTGGAGTGTATATTTTTTAGGAATACTTAGTATTTTTTAAACCTGATTAACATAAAAAACAATTAGTTTCTAGGCAGACCCACATAAGATATTAAAGGCCAACTGCAAAGAACACCCAGCGAGGCTCTGTAGATGGATGTAATAAAATCTATAAAACAATGTGTTTAAACCTAAGAGTTCCGCTGCTTTGGAATTCTTTCCTCTGCTCCTTTTCCTCACCTCCTGCTCCTCCAGCCCTTCCCTCCGTCCCTCTCATCCCTCAGGCCCTCTTCTCCCCTTAATCCCCACCACCCTCTCACTCCTGAATTGTGGCTCTAGCACTGTTCCATGACCTGCTACATGAGTGTTCTCTCTATAGTGGTCCTGCTACTATGAGTCAGAGTGTGTCATTTCTCCACCTAAAACACTCCAGTGGCTCCACCTCATTCTTGTGAAGCTTCTAGAATGTCAGGCACTTGAGCATATGAGGGCATACCTGGTTCATTGTAGGGACTAAATTATTTTTTCTTGGCTGAATGAATGAATTATGAGTGTATTAAATTGCATCACAGAAAATTATAAAATGTAAAACACTGAAAAAGTTAAAAAAGATTTTATTTTATGTAACTAGTGTGCGTATCAATTCATCAGTTCATTCCAGGAGTCTTTTGAGTCTGTGTATGAATTTTATAAGACTGGGTAACAAATTGTCACAAACATTGGCTTTAAACAGCACCCATTTATTGTATTCATTGATTTATTTTTAGATACAGAGTCTCCCTCTGTCATCCAGGATGAAGTGCAGTCACATGATCATGGCTCACTGCAGCCTCAAATTCCTGGGCTCAAGGGACCCTCCTACCTCAGTCTTCAGAGTAGCTAGGACTGCAGGCAAGTGCCACCATGCCCAGCTAATTAAAGAGAAATGTAGAGACGAGTGTCTCACTATATTATCCTAGCTGGTCTCAAAGTCCTGGCTGCAAGTGTTCCTCCTGTGTCAGCTCCTCAAATGTTAGGATACAGGTGTGCACTACCACGCCTGGCCAAATAACACCCATTTGTTGTTTATAGTTTCTTAATCAGAAATCTGGGCATGATGTGGATGGAATCTCTGTTCCGGTCTTCCTAAACCTGTGTTTTCATTTTGAATCCTCCTTCAGGCTTATACAGAGGTGGCAGAATGCAGTTTCTGGCAGTTGTAAGACTGAGGTCCCTGTTCCTCACTGGCTGTCACTGTAGAGAACAGGGAGGGCTGCACTTAATGCATGGTGCCCACCAGCGTTCTTTCCTACACAGCCCCTTCATTTTCAAAGCCCACAGTGGAGGAAACCCCTCATGCTGAATCCCTCTCACACTGTGAATCTCTATGCTCAGGAAGAACCCAGTCCTTTCAAGGACTCTCCTTATTAGGACAGTCCAAGCAGGATAAACTCAGCCTAAAGTCAACTAATTGAGGCCCTTAATTATATCTGCTAAATCCCTTCACAGCAGCACCTACATTAGAGTTGGTTGAATAACTGGGGGAAGGTGAATGACCAGGAGCTGGTTGTTGGGAGCCATGATAGAATCAGCCCAGGAAGGGCTGGATCTTCCTTTTGTGTTTAATTTGGACACAGTTGGAAACTGAAGTTCAAGTAAAGTGATCATTATGAATAGTAATAAAATACATCCTCTTCAGCCGTGGAACTTCTCCTTTCCTTTTAAAACTAAGTTACATGTTTAATATCTTATAGTTAATTTAGACCAGGTGTGGTGGCTCACGCCTGCAATCCTAGCACTGTTGAAGGCAGAGGAAGGCAGATTTGACTCCAGAAGTTCAAGATCAGCCTGGGCAACATGGTGAAACCCCCATCTCTACAAAAAAATTAGAAAATTAGCCAGGCATGTTAATTCATGCCTATAGTCCCAGCTACTCAAGAGGCTGAGATCAGAGGATCCCTTGAGCCCAGGAGGTCGACACTGCAGTGCATGGTGATCATGCCACTGCACTCCAGCCTGGGTGACAGAGCAAGACCCTGTCTCAAAAATAGTAATATGATGATGATAAATTTAGAGCAAATGCAAATTAACGTGTAATAATACATCCTCTCTTGTGAAAATGTATTAGTTATTTACTATTGTGTAACAAATTATGTAAAACTTAGCAGCTCAAAACAGCAAATATTCATCATCTCCCACAGTTTCTAATGGTCAGGAATCCAGGAGCGGTTTTCCTGAGTGCTTCTGGCTCAGGGCCTCTCACAAGGTTGCAGTCCAGTTGTCAGCCTAGGGCTGCATCGTCTGAGGGCTTCACTGGGGCTGAGGATTCACATGAAACATGGCTTAGTCACATGGCTGTTGGAAAAGCCTAGTTCCTTGCTGTCTGGTCCCAGGGGACCTCAGTTCTTAGCCACATGGACCTTCCTGCAGGGCTGCTTATGGCACAGCAGCTGGGTCCCCAAGAGCTCATGATCCCAGAGACAGAGAGAGAGAAGGTGGAAGCCATAGTGAGTTTCACATTCTACACCCAGAGTCACAAACTGTTATGTCAGCATTACTCTATCAGTTAGAAGTTGTATTAGTCTGTTCTCACACTGCTATAAAGAAATACCTGAGACTGGGTAATTTATAAAGGCAAGAGGTTTAGTTGACTCGCAATTGTGCATGGCTGAGGAGGCTGCCCCAGGAAACTTACAATCATGGCAGAAGGGGAAGCAAACGTGTCATTCTTCACATGGTGGCAGGAGAGAAAAATGCAGAGTGAAGTGGGGAAAATCCCCTTATATGGTACATATACACCATGGATATTATGCAGCCATAAAAAGGAATGAGATCAAGTCCTTTGCAGGGATATGGATGAAGCTGGAAGCCATTATCCTCAGCAAGCTAACACAGGAACAGGAAACCAAACACCACATGTTCTCACTTATAACTGGGAGCTGAGCAATGAGAACACATGGACACAGGGAGAGGAACATCACACACTGGAGCCTATTATGGGAGGGCAGTGCTGAGGGGAGCATTAGGAAAAATAGGTTCAACCGCTGACTTCCACAGCTTGGGGGAATCATCCCCATGATTCGATCACCTCCCATGAAGTCCCGCCGCCAATATGTGGGGATCAGAATTCGCATGACAATTCAAAATGAGATTTGGGTGGGAACACAGAGATAGGCCATATCAGAAGTGCATCATTAAGTCCAAGCCACACTTAAGAGAGGGAATTAAGCTGCACCTCTGAAAGAGAGCTGTACTAAAGGACTTACGTATATGTTAAAAGCAAAATTAAAACTATTGTTTCAGGATTTTGTAAATCAAAGACTTCTTTTATCTAATTATTTTTCTTTAATGCTTTAAGCTTATCTTTTAATTTAATTTAATTTAATTTAATTTTAAGTTCCAGGGTACATGTGCAGGATGTGCAGGTTTGTTACATAGGTAATCATGTGCCATGGTGGTTGGCTGTACCTATCAACCCATCACCTAGGTGTTAACCCTGGCATTCATTAGCTATTTTTCCTAATGATCCCCCCATCACTGCCCTCCCCGAACAGGCCCCATTGTGTGTTTTTCCTCTCCCTGGTTCCATGTATTCTCATTGCTCAGTTCCCAATTATAAGTGAGAACATGCGGTGTTTGGTTTTCTGTTCCTGTGTGAGTTTGCTGAGGATAATGGCTTCCAGCTTCATTCGTATCTCTGCAAAGGACTTGATCTCATTCCTTTTTATGGTTGCATAATATTCCGTGGTGTATATGTACCATATTTTCTTTATCCAGTTCCTCACTGGTGGGCATTTGGGTTGATTCCATGTCTTTGCTATTGTGAATAGTGCTGCAATGAACATACACATGCATATACCTTTATAATAGAATGATTTATATTCCTTTGGGTATATAACCTTTAATGGGATTGCTGGGTCAAATGGTATTTCTGGTTCTAAATCTTTGAGGAATTGCCACACTGTCTTCCACAATGGTTGAACCAATTTACATTTCCACCAACAGTGTAAAAGCCTTCCTATTTCTCTGCAACCTTGCCAGCATCTGTTGTTTCTTGACTTTTAATAATTGCCATTCTGACTGGCATGAGATGGTATCTCATTGTAGTATTGATTTGCATTTTTCTAATGATCAGTGATGTTTAGCTTTTTTTCTTATGTTTATTGGCCACATGTATGTCTTCTTTTGAGAAGTGTCTGTTTAGGTCCTTTGTCCACTTTTTAATGAAGCTTTTTTTTTGGTGTAAATTTGCTTAAGTTCTTTGTAGCTTCTGAATATGAGACCTTTGTCAGGTGGACAGACTGCAAAAATTTTCTCCCATTCTGGGAGAAATGTCTGTTCACTCTGATAATAGTTTCTTTCACTCTACAGAAGCTCTTTTGTTTAATTAGATCCCATTTGTCAATTTTTGCTTTTGTGGCAGTTGCTTTTGGCATTTTCATCATAAAATCTTTGCCCATCCCTATGTCCTGATTGGTATTGCCTAGATTTTCTTCCAGGGTTTTTATAGTTTTGGGATTTACATTTAAGTCTTTAATCCATCTTAAGTTAATTTTTGGGCAAGGTGTAAGGAAGGAGTCCAGTTTCAATTTTCTGCAGATTGCTAGCCAGTTCTCCCAGCACCATTTGTTAAATAGGGAATCCTTTGCCCATTGCTTATTTTTGTCAGGCTCATTGAAGATCACAGGGTTTTAGATGTGTGGTCTTATTTCTGAGTTCTCTATTCTGTTCCATTGGTCTATGTGCCTGTTTTTGTACCAGTACCTTGCTGTTTCAGTTACTGTAGCCTTGTAGTATAGTTTTAAGTCAGGTAGCCTCATGCCTCCAGCTTTGTTCTTTTTGCTTAGGATTCTTCTGGCTATAGGAGCTCTTTTTTGGATCCATATGAATTTTAAAATAGTTTTTTTCTAATTCTATGATAAGCTTCACTTTTTAAATTAATGACTAAAAGTTTGAGACATCACAGAGCCTTAGGTGTTGAGGGGAAAACAGTTTGAGGCAGAGAAAGGAGATACAACAGTATCTCTGAGTTTTTCTTGCCAATATCTTTAATAACAGCAATGTTCTCTTCAATGAGTTAACACAGTTGAGAACATAGAATAACTAGATCAAATAGTTCCAAGACTTTAGTGCTATAAAAATAATGCCTTGAAAATAAGTCTTTGTTTTGTCTAAAATGTCTCAAATTTAGGGGAAGTATGCCCCTAGTGCCAGTTTTCTTATTGAAATATCGTCTTCCAAAAAACATTTGCCTACACTTAAAAAAAGAAGTACTGCTCTGTCTCTGGAGTAGCCATCCTTTGTTTCTTTCTCTAATTAACTTGCTTTCACTTAGAAAAATATTGCTTAATCAGATTGCTTTTCATTTACAAAGATGTGAATCTCATACTTCAGTCAACACATCTAGCATGCCAATAACTTCGGTTTGATGCAGTATCACGAAATTGTTAGCTCGAATTGAGAAACTAGTTTTTTCGATAACTGGCTATTCGATCGGCATTCTATAATACACTTAACATCTTTTGTTGTGATATTGAATGATATGTGATAGAAGTGATTTGGACACCACTATGATTCTAAATAGCATGCCATCAGGTGCTTCTGAAGTGGTTTTGTTTGTTTCTTTGTTTTCGCAGTCCTATTGTGTTTTCTATTCATATTGCTATTCCATCACTGGTTATTCCTTTCTACTCTTTTCTTGTTTCATTTATTTTGATCAATGATGTGCATTTCCAATTCTGTAAAAGTTTAATTCAGTGGTATGTGTGGTAGAATGTAACATCAAATCCTTTGCAAGATGGAATTACCTTGCACATCAGATTGAAGATTGTATACATGAAAATCTACAGAGATGCCAGTGAGCCAAGGATCAAATGACCTATTTGTAGCCAAAGCCATTTTCATGGCCTCGTGGTCCTCTCTGTCACATGGCTCCTTACAATTCTGTGTGGTTTTGTTCCAATGTAAGTAGTTCTTGTTAAGGATGCTTGCAATGAACTTTGGTATTCTTTTCTCTTTCATTTTTATAAAAACCAAGCATATTTTACTTTGAAAAAATCTATTTAAGGAATTAGGAATTTAAGTCAATTCTTTCAACTCAATGTTTTCAGAACACATCATCAACATCAAGTATTACACATTTATTTTAAAAGTTCCATTTTAAAAGGGAATGGATGATATGTTGTTTGGACTTTAGCCAGCACTGTTGTAAAACACAGAACCTGTAAACTACCCTGGGCTGCTGCCCATTCACATCCCCCAAAAGGAGACTCCACCCTGAGTCTTGTGATTATTATTCCTTTATTTAGATGTGTGGTCTTATTTCTGAGTTCTCTGTTCTGTTCCATTGGTCTATGTGCCTGTTTTTGTACCAGTACCTTGCTGTTTTCATAATATCTATAAAGAAATTATAGAGTTTCTTTAAGGATTTGTGTAATAAGTATAGATATATCCCCAATCCAAATATTAGTTAGTTTTGATGGTTTTTAAGCTTCCAGTACAGCAAATTCCTACTGCATTTATTTTCCCATGATGCACATTACATATAGGAGTTATCTGTGGTGTGGGAGGCTGTCATTCATTCGTTTTTACTGCTGAAGGTTTACATTTTATGGTTATACCATAATTGCACTAGTTTTCTATTGATATATATGTAGCTGATTCCAGTTCTTGCCATAAACATTAGTGTGCATGTCTCCTGGGCACATAGGCAAGAAAGCCCGCAGAGTGTATGATTAGGAGTGGGATGATTGGATGATATGTTGTATGGCCTTTAACCATACTAGATAATAATAATATGATTTCCAAAGTGATTGTGCCAACTTAAACTTATTTATTTATTTATTTATTTATTTATTTATTTATTTTTGAGACGAAGTCTTGCTCTGTTGCCCAGGCTGAACTGCAGTGGTGCTATCTTGGCTGATTGCAACTTCCACCTCCCAGTTCAAGCAATTCTCCTGCCTCAGCCTCCCGAGTAGTTGGGATTACAGGCATGCACCACCACGCCCAGCTAATTTTTGTATTTTTAGTAGAGTCGGGGTATTGGAGGCCGAAAGAATGAGGGTCGTGATCAACTCAGTATACCACTGGAGGCTATATGAGCAAACAGCAAACTGTTCTCATGAAAGCAGGATGTTGGCAAACTGACAAACTGAGTTTGCTGCCAGAAGGAATCACTAGAAGCAAGAAGCCCCCGACCCCTTCTTTTAGAACAGATCTTTTTGTCTTTGTCTTTATTTCTGTGTTCATCCCCCTTCATTATATCCCATAGTAACCGATTGCGACAATGGGGTTTTACCATGTTAGCCAGACTGGTCTTGAACTCCTGACCTCAGGTGGTCCACCCACCTCAGCCTACCAAAGTGCTGGGATTACAGGCGTGAACCACCACGCCTGGCCTAAACTTTTGAAATAAGTGCGTAATACTTGATGTTGATGATGTGTTCTGAAAACACTGAGTTGAAGGAATTGAGTTGAAAGCCACTGTCTTGGCTGCAGAATTATAGCAGGCATTTTTATTTAGATTCTGTCAATAACTTTCTGTTGTTTACTTGTTTCTCATATACCGTGGCATTGTACTTTTGACATACAGATTCAGAAAATGCTTACTTATAGCACAATCACATAGGGTTATTTTATATGTTAGGAAATTTTCATAATAAAAAGGAAAAAATGGAGGAAGGGAGGGAAAGAAGGAGGAAGAGAAGAAGGAGTGAAAGAAGAAAAGAAGGAAGGGGAAGGGGAAGAAAAGGGAAGGAAAGCAGAGTAAAAAGGAGGGAAGGCGAGAGGTTGAATGGAAATAGAGAAGAAAGAGAGGGAGGGAGGGACAGAAGGAAGGAGAAAGGGAAGGAACAAAAAAGAAAAGAAACTAAAATAAAGAAAAGAATACACGTTGAGAAACTAGAAACCCTACGTATGGCCAGTGTTATGAAAATGGAAGGAAATAAAGCAGATGTACGTAACCTGTATAGAATAATGGAAATGTAAGAGGGCTTCATTAGTTATCCATTGCCGCATAACAAACTACCCCCAAATTTAGTGATTAAATCAACAAACATTGACGAACTCAAAAACATAATACAAATACCAGCAAAATGGAGCCAACGCAAGTAGAAGAAGTTGAATAAACAAAAGGATTTTACAAATTGGAATAAGAGGACACTGGTGTGCAGATGAAAATGATTTTGTAGTCCAAATCCTCCAAAAAGCAAGTGCCATCATGGGATTAAAGTTACAACATTTTATTAGGGGACATACCTGTCAGACGATATTGTGAGGGAGTCAGGTTACCCTGGGAAAGGCAACAGGCCGAGATGCAAGTGTGACCCCCAGTGATGGACAGAAGGAGAGAAGGTTTACTGGATGTTTCCTAGACCACAGGCAATCTAAGGAGAGTTGAGCAAGGCCATGGAGGAGACCCGGAGCCACCATTGGCCATCAGAGGAGTCCCCTGTCTCCCAGGAATGTCCTGCCTTAGTGTCACTGGTGTGAGCCATCACTGACTGGGAACAGCCCATGGGAAGCAGGGCCTCCATACCAATGCTACTGAGGATGTCAGAGCACAGGAGCAGGGCCTTGGGAGATTACCCAGGAGTGTGACTCAAACCTGCTGCCCAGATGGGTCTGGGTTCTTGGAAATCAAATCCTCTCAAGCTAAATTTCTGGATGATTCTGCTCACACTTACAATGGGGCAAGGGGACCCAGAAGGTTCCCAGGTGGATGTCTGGTTTCCACACACACTTCTGCCCTCATTGTGTGAAAGTAGCCATGCCTCCTCCTGGGGATGAGGGCCTATTACCTGGGCCTGGAGAGAAGGACACTCCTCTTCTCACGATGTGGTCTCTGGGAACATGCTCTCCAAACTTCTCTGGTGACTAAAATAATGTGTAGTTCAATGGGCTCTCTTTTGTCTACTTTTAAGGGTACCCTCCTTTGGAAACCAGGACCTCCTAACCCGCACAGCCCATTGTTGGGAGATAAAAAAGGCAAAATACCTTAGTGGGTGAATCTAAGAGATTGGACATGGAGCCATACCTGCTTCCACCTTTTGATTTCTGGACCCACATGTTCTTCCATTGAGAACACAGCACCATAGAGACATCTCTGATTCAAACAATATACCATGTTCTGAAAGATGGCACTCTCAGAGTGCTTCCTCCAGGCTGGCACTGAGTTGTGCCTATAGAAGACCTGTCCAGCATTCCTTGTGGCTGGTAGCTCCTGGGTGGTGCAGATGGTGATAGGATTAGTGGAACCCACAGCCATGGAAACATTAAAACTTTCCAGGCCAAATGGGTCCTTCAGGCAGAGAATGGGCTAGGAGCACCGCCTAGCCTGCAGATCAGGAATGTCAACAGCACCCGGAGAGTGGTGCTGGCTGAGTGTCAGAGCAAGACAGGAAAACCCACCCATGGAATATGAGCCTATTTCTGTGAAGATGAACCTCTGGCCCTTCCAGGATGGAAGTAGCTAAATGTAGTCACTTGTTACTTAGTGGCTGGTCGCCGAAAGAAATAGTGCCCCACTAGGGCACATCATGGGCTCCAAATGCTGACGAGTTGACATTCAGGAGTGGCAGTAGCTGGATCTACCTTGGTAGGGCTGGGAGAGTCAGTGCTGCTGGCCCCATACATAGCCTCATGCCTGCCACTGTGGTTGCTCCATTCATGCACCCATCCTACCAGGCCTGGGCTGACCCATGGTGAAGGCTGGCTAACTGCCATTTGTCTGTTTGGTTGTTCAGTGCCACATCACACTTGGGTGTTTTCTGTGGGTGTCAACATGGGATTCAAGCTCAACCCAGGTGGACCATTTTCACCTGTTGATGAATGCTGTTGGGCCTGTGCAATTTATGACTTTGTGGGTCACACAGCCACTTGGAACCACATTGTTGTTTGGTGTCTCTTGGTCAAGCATTCTATCAAATCAGGACAAGTAACACTAAATGTTGCTTCTAACAGGGGGCATATGTCTCTGCTGTGGATGACATGATCTTACTCCAGAATCCCAGGCCCTCCATTGTGACTCTCCCACTGGTGCTTGGTTCAGCTCCATCCTGCATCTTTCCCCACCACTGGCACCACCAGCCCCAAGGGGTCTGAGGGATGCTGGCTGCTTGTACCATGGCCTGGATCTGCTGCAGGGTCCTTTCCTGTGTGGGCCCCACATGAAGGTGGCCTCCTCCTATGTCACCTAGAGTGTGGGCCAAAGCAACACACCTAAATGTGGAATGTGGTGTCATCAGAACTCAAAGAGGCTCATCAGGCAGTGTGCTTCCTTCCTTCTGGTGAGGATGCAAGATGAAACAGTTTGTCTTTTACCTTGGAGGGGACACACCTACATTCCCCTAAACACTTGGCACTTGTTCACCCATAAAACTTCACTTCAGTGGCCACTCTTGAAGCTCTGTAAGGTTTACCTTCACCTTCTGGAGTGTGCTTGTTTTGCCAAGGACTCCAGTGCACTTTCTACCTGCTGCTCATCCACCCCAGTAAACATGAAATTGTCAATGAAATGAGCTGATTTAATATCCTATAGGATATCCAGTATGTCTAGTGTAGTCTTAAGACTATATACTATAGCGGGCAGAGGAGTTACAATAGCCCTGAGGCAAATGATAAATAAATGTGTTGTGGATCCCACATGAATGTGAATCATTCCATATCCCCTTTCTAATTGGAGTGGAAAGGAATGCACTCACCAAGTCTGCAGCTGCACACTGTGGGCCCAAGGATTTATTAATCTGCTCTACCAGTGATATCCAGACAACATAAAAGCTGCAATTATAACTCCTACTTGGCCATACCTAGAGTAATCTCATTCATTCTTTAGGCCTCATCAGGCTCCCTCAGGGACAGTTTGCTGGATTACGTAGAGACGATAGACAGCCCCAACACCACCCCACATCCTTCAGCTCTCTCATGGTGATGTGACCCCCACAGTACTTTCAGTGCCTTCCACAAGACACATGAGGTTGCCTGGTTGCTGTGGTGCCCACTTTCCACCCCACCCTCCCGTACCCCCATGTCACTTTCATTGTGTCCTGAATAACAGTTTCAAGTTTGTCTATGGCTTCTGCGAGGAGCCAGGACATCCAGATAGAATGGGCCACATGAATCAATTGGTATGTGTTTCTCCTTTCAGGCAGAGTCTCACTCACTTCACACAAGCACAGAGATCCCCATATAGGCAACTAGATTATGAGAAACAAACGCACCCATCCAAACCCAAAGAATGGACTCTGAGACCCAGAGAACAGCAAAAGTGAGAGTGTCAGTGACGGTTTTGCAATATTGGGTGTCTGGAATGCAGGCACACCAGGGAGAGTTTCAACAATTTATTCCCTAGTGCTCAACTCCCTCCCCCAGTTGCTCATTAGCTGAGTACCAAGGACTTACGATCTTCCCGGATGTCACCTATTGGTAGTTTAAGACTTCTAGTATGTTCCTTAGGGTTTTTTTTTTTTTTGCTGCATTTTGTTGCAGCCCATAATGCATTGTGATTGTCTCAGGACTCTTTAAACATTTGACTTATGTCCCTAATGGCTGCACTTAGTTGATAAGAAAGGGTACAATTATCTATGTTGCAAGTTAGCCTAAACTACATTTTTTGGTGAGGTGGGGAAGGGGTCGTTGAGGGGGCCCCAACCGATAGGTGCCTGGCCAGTGCATGAAAGGGAAAGCAAGAAGTAGGGGGGATGGTGGCTTAGTACATTTTCCTTCTTTATCTCTTTATGACCATGTGGCCTGCTTAAACCTATACTAAGGCACATAGAATTGAAAATGAGCCATCACATGTAGGTTATTTTTTACACCCTTAAGTCCTGCCCAAGCCAGGGCTGGGCCAAGGCCCTCGAACATCCAGCTGTAGCCTCCTCCTGCTGCAGGTGAGGAGTGGGCAGCAGGGAGGGCCGTGGTGCCTGCTTTGTCCCCATCCCGGTCTCTGTCTCTCAGGCTTACCAGGTTGCATCCAGGTGGGTGAGTTGGGAATTGCGTGCTGATTGCTGAGGGCCTGGATGATCGCTATCTCAGAGGGAGCAAATAGTAAAGGCAGATGTGATCTAGGGAGGGCTAGAAACTGGAGAGGAATCCAAGGAGAGGTGGTGCCTCTAGTCCCTTCCTTTCTGCATCCCCCTCCCCTGTTTCTCCAGCCATCAGGAGGACATCAAGAAAAAGACCCACGAGACCCAGAATGAGGGCCCCCATGTGTACAGCCCCTTTGAGGTCCCCTTGTAACAGGGAGAGTCCTGAGTGCACATGGCCATCCTCTGTCCACTTTGCAGCTCCCCATATGCCTCATCTGGGAGCTGTCTCAGGGGTGTCACGTCCTCTGGGTCCCTCGAGACCGTGCTTTTTCTGGGTTCCCACCATATGGCCCCTGTCTCCCTGTGTTTCCTTGCAGATAATATGGACCAGTTGATAAGCAGATGTCCCTGGGCTATTTGGGGAGTGGGGACCAGCCCTCTGTCAGGGCAGCTGTGGTCCCTGTTTTCATCCCATGTCCAGGTGTTACTTTTTCCAGCCCCCGAGGGTCATAGTACCCAGTGGGCTGTTTTTTGGGCTTTGTTCTGTGCTCTGTGGCCTCACCTTGCCTTTCCTGAGCCAATTTTTTTGTTCTTAGTGTAGTCACTGCCTGGTAAGTTTAAAATAAGAGACAGTCAGAATCATGTCCCCCACAGTCAGGTTGTTTGAGGGGAGAGGAAAAGAGCAAGCAGAAAGTTTTGAGTTTCTGCAAAGACAGAGGCAGTGCAGGGGACAGTGAGAGTCTGAGGTGTCCAGGAAACCCGAGTCTTTCTGCCATTTCTCCACTTCCGTGTGTCTGGCCAGTGAGGTGGTGGTGACTCATCCTTGAACCTAATTGCACAGTTAGTTGGCCACTCAGGCCTGGGCAGATGGGACGGTTCATCCCCTGCCCTGCAGCAAGAGGGCCCCGTCCAGGAGGCAACCACAGCGCGGGCAGTGCAGGTCTGTGGTTGCTCCTGCTCTCACCTGCGGTGTCTCCTATAGAGGGATTGTCAGTTCTGGTTCCCTGTAGGCAGGAATGGTTTTCTCGTAGGTCACTGGGACATTGGCTAGAAAAAGGGCATGAAAATTACATGTTAGTTTCTCAAAATTCCTGCTTTAAGTATTGGTGTACATCAACATAATTTCAGCTGGATAATCTTAATAGGATTTCCTCCAACACTGATGTTGTAAAGGATGTTGAATAGAACAGGAAGTCAAATTTGGGGCTTCGTTTCTCAGAGGGTCCATGTGGGAGACAGTGCCTGTGGCAGTGGCAATCCCCAGGTGCAGAGGGTGCGTAGAGGCAGCCTCAGGATGAGGGGTCTGAAGAAACCCCCTACTCCACAGGCGAAGAAGATCCCCTGTGAGCTGCGATGGCAGTGGCCTGGGTGGAATCCCTGTTAGGAATGGGACAGGAAGGGCTTGCAGCCTCACCAAGCAGCAGCCCTGGGGTGGAGCTGCATTTCCAGGGTTGAGTGGACAGGCAGGAGCAAGCACAGCCCAAATGCAGGTTATGGGGAGGGCAGGCTGGGCCTCCTTGAGCAAGGGGGTCCCCAGCATCAGGTCAGGTGCAGACTCCATGGCAGCCACATATTTCCATGCAGGGCCTGTGAGCCCCAGGGCTTCCTGATAGGATCTCTAGTTAGGAGCTGTCTGCTCAGAGCTGGGAGGGGAGGAACAGTGAGCTGCTGGTGGAGGGCAGAACCCACAGTGTGCAGGGCCTGCCCTGGTATGCAGGTGCCTCTGCAGGTGAAGAGGGCCTGGGGTCTCAGGAAGAGAAGGACTGTGTGTGACTTGGCCCAGACCTGGAAGGACATGGAGACAGGGCCAGGGCCTCTCTTTGGGGAGGCCTCTCACTGTGTCAGGGCTGGTCAGGCTTGAGAGGAGGAGGAAAGGGCACTGAGTTTCCTCTTGGGTCTTGTTCCTTAGTCCTGGGTCCTTTCACTCACTGCACAATGGATGGTGGACACAGGGCAGGTGCTGATGTTGATGGAGTCACGGGAGGGGACTGGCAGGGGCTGGAAAAGTGCCATGGGAGGGAGAAAAAAGTGGGGACGTCATCTTCCGTCAGAGAAAGGGTAAATCTGATTTGGGAGTGACTGAGGAGGGAGAACTCCTCAGGAAATAAAAAGCAGCACTCTGCACCCAGGGGAGCATTTATTGGTTTCTCTCTTTTTTCCAGAGCGCGTGAGCCTGCAAGGCCTGGGTCAACACCTGGTTGGGACAGGAGACCACCAGGGCAGTGCACAGCTGAGATCTCAGTCTCTGGTGTCAGCTCCTGGGTTCGCTGGCTCCACTGAGGGCAACTAGACTCTGCAGCCAGGCGGTCTGGATTCAACTCCTTGCCTAGGCCTCACCAGCATGTTCTCTCTTTGTGCCTCATTTTCCTCATCTATGACATGGGGAAACTACGAGCATTTATTTCTTGTGGTTGGATGAATGAAAAGGGTTAGTATATATGGGGTATTTGCAGCTGTGCCATATTATTTTTGTTATTTTGTTATTTTATTATATTTTGATATATTACATATGCAGTAATTGTATTATTATAGGTGAGCTTTATGAGTGAGTGTCCTGCTGATGGCTCCTTGGTCCTGGCCCAGCACCAGCTTTCCTGGCACCTTGAGGTCCTGTCATCTCTGTCATGCTCTCCTGCATTACCCCATTCTACTCTGTCTTCATATTTTATACTATAGATATTTAACTCTTAAATAGACATTTCTGGTCTGCGTTTTATTTCAAGTGTCTGGGAAGGGATAGTGTGAGGTTCAGGAGAGAAGGAGAGGTCTGTCTCCATGCTTTGACACAGCATAAAGAAATCTCCCCTCCTCCCCCACATCTCCCCACCAGTTCTCAGTGAGGGACAGATTCACAGCAACACCGAAAGGGCTGGGAAGGGATGGGGGGACATTTGCAGCCAGTGTTCAGGGGCTGACCCTGTGGGGCAACATCTTCCCTGCAGAGTTAGAGCCCACATATGATGATGTAGAGCTGAAGGGTGATATCAGGGAGGGGACGGAGAGTGCTTTGTGGTTTCCTGATTACGAAGAGTAGAGGTCAGTCAGCTTCTGGGGTGAAGTGACTGCTGGGGAGATTGGATTGAATTAATGAAGAATAAGTGAGCTGGGATTGAGGATGAGTAAAGCAAGCATCAGCATCTCCCGCCATCAGTTCAGACTGATTGGGGAGGTGGGATAGTTCCTGACCTTGTTGTGTGGTTCCTCCTAACTTCCTGGTCTTGGGGACACAGATGGGTGGTGCTGTTCTTGGTCAGGGCAGCCTCAGCTCCATCCAGATAAAGCAGTGGTGGCAGAGAGAGTTAGGGGAGCACCTGTGAAACAGACCAAGGCAGGGATGGGAGCCTTCTGTGCAGCCAGAGTGGATGCAGGACCTGCCTGGATGCAAGAGAAGGATGAGGGACCCTAGCTGGGTCCTGTTCCCTGACTCCTTGTGTTCACAGGGCAACCAGTAAGGGAGCTGGGGTAGGGAATTCATTCATAAGCTATCTATCTAGAGATGTGTTTATAGACATATTATTTCATGTTTGTATTCAGGTTTGTTGTCACAGACACATTTATCCATGTGTGTTTTATGTTTAAGTTACTTTGGAATAGCTCAGTCACAAAATCTTAATCTCTTAATTTGTGCTGCCTCTCTACACGGACACACACACACAGGCGGACACACACACAGGCACACACACACATTCACACACATGCTATACAAACATGTCTACCTGTATCTATAAAGAGACATGTTATGTTATTTTATTTTTTATTTCTTAAATTCATATATATTCATGAGGCACAAGTGCAATTTTGCTACATTGCTATATTGGTTGTGGTAAAGTCAGGGCCTTCAGAGCATCCAGCACTGGAGACAAGCACATTGTACCCATCAAGAAACCCCTCTATTATACACCAACTGCCAACCCCCTTACCCTTCTGGGTCTCCATGGTCCATCATTTCACACTCTCCTTTTATGTATATAAAGAGATATTAACCAAATACGGCAGAGTGGTAACTTGAATTTTACTGCACCGTTCTTTCAGCTTCTTTGCACATTTGAAAATTTATACAGTTATAAGTTGGAAGAATGAGGGAAAATAGAGAGCAAGACAGTGCTGAATAGGAATAGGCTAGGGGTTGTGTCCCACTAGGAACCATAATTGATCTTTGCCATTTTGAAAGTGTGTCCCCTGAGCAGCCTTCAGAGAGTCCTGGAGGCAGGCTTGTTTTCACAGTAATACCAAGATGCCATCTGCCTGTTTCATTGTGTTGACTTTTCCATTAGTGCTGCAAATGCCAAGGTCGGTAGCACACCCAGCACCTCAGCAGAACCAGGCAGTGGCTCCAAACTGCAGTCCCATTTAAGAGTGTCTTTGATGGAGCAGTAAAAAATTTATGTGGATTAAAGTTTGATCCTTGAGTATACGTCTTTAATATTCTTTGTGAGAAAATGGGAAATATGCATAAGACCCTTACTGCACAGAGAAGCAGGATGGTAGCCTTGAGAAAGGGCACTTGTGTGACTCAGTTATGATTTCAACCAGCAGATCTCACTCACCTACGGAAAGACAGTTGTATTAATTCCTGTTTGGGGGTATCATGAATAAAGCTGCAAGAGTATTTGTGCACAGGATTTTCGTGAACATAAAGTATTCCCTTGTTTGAAATAAGTGCCTAGGAGGGCAATTGCTAGTCATAAGGTAAATTGCATGTTCGGTTTGAAGAAAACTGCAATACTCATTTCCAGAGTGGCTGTACCATTTTAAAATACATCCCTACCAGCAATATAAGAGTGTCCCAGTTCCTCTGCGTCCTTGCCAGCATCTGTTGCTACCTTTATTTTGTATTTCAGCCATTCTCATCACTGTGGTTTTAATTTGTATTTTCCTACTGGATAATGATGTTGAGCACCTATTCATCTGCTTATTAGCCCAGTATTTATCCTCTTCAGTGAAATGTCTGTTCATGTCTTGCTCATTGCCTGTTTTGTATTTGGATTTCATTTTTATTGTTTTTAAAATTTCTTCATATATTCTGAATACAGTCTTTACATAATATGTTGCCTGCAAATATCTTCTCTCATTCTGTAGCTTGTCTTTTTATGCTCTTCATAGGTCTCTCACAGAACAACAGTTTTTAGTGTTGATAAGATCCAATTTATTAACTTTTATGGATCATACTTTTGGTGTTATGTCTAAGAACTCTTTGTCCAGTCTTAGCTCTGATGACTTTTTCTTAAAAGGCTTGTAATTTAAAAATTTAAATTTATTATTTATTTTAGAAAAAAAATTCTTGCCTAGGCTGGCCTTGAACTCCTGGGCTCAAGGGATCCTCCCACCTCAGCTTCCTGAGTAGCTGAGAGTACAGGCCTGTGATACCACACCTGGCTCAATGTTTGCCATTTTAACTCTGTGCTTTACATGAAAGCTTGTGACTCATTTTGAGTTATTTTTGTATGAAGCATGAAGTTTTGGCTCAGGTTATTTTTTTCCACTGTGGTTGTCCAGTTGTTCCATCACCATTTGATGGGAAAGCTCTCCTTCCTTCATTGAATTGCTTTTGTGCTTTTGTAAAAGTCAGTTGAGCATGTTTTGCTCATTTTTAGTTGAGTTGCTCATCTTCTTACATTGAGTTTAAGAACTTTTCACATATTCTGGATACATGTTCTTCATCACAGATGTAATTTGTGATAAATTGTGAAATATTTTCTCTCAATCTACGGCTTGTCTTCTCATTTTCTCAATATTGTCTTTTGGAGTACTTAAGTTTTAAATTTTAACTAAGCCCAATTTGTCTCTCACTTTTTTTTCATCTGTAGATCATGTTTTTTGTATTTTATGTAAGAATCTTTTGCCTAACTACTCAATGTCACAAAAATTTTCTCCTATATTTTCTTTTAGAAATTTTATGGTTTTAACTTACAAATTTTAGCTGTTTAGGTCTCTAATTTGTTTGAGCTTATATTTTATATGGCGATAAGTGTCACATCATATTACCTATGCAACTTCATTGAAGATCAATTGACAAAAAAATGTAAGAATGTCTTTCTAGATTCTCACTTCTGTTCATTAATCTCTGTGTCTCTCGCTTTCACACTGTCTGGATTATTGTAGTTTTATATGACATTCCATTTTTTTTCAAATTTGCGTTGGCTTTTCTGCATCCTCTGCATTTTCACATACATTTTTAGGATTAAATTGTCAATTTTCCATAAAATGCCTGCTGGGGTTTTGATAGAGATTGTACAGAACCTATAGATCTCTTGGTGGAGAATTGCCATCTTAACAATATTATTGAGCTTTCCAACCGCATCTATCCATGAATTTAGACCTTTAATTTCTCTCAGTAATGTTTTGTAGTTTTCAACAAACAAACTCTGCTGTCTTCCTAAATTTATTCCTGTTTCTCTCTTTTTGTAACTACTGTGATAGGAAAGTTTAGATTTTAATTGCTTGTATAGAGAAATATGTTAATAATTTTTAATTTGAGTTTATATCCTATGGGAGCTTCTGGATTCATTTTTTAGTGCTAGCAGGCTTTTATCTGCTTGTGAATTCTACAGACAAGGTCATGTTATCTGTGAATAGAGTTTTATGTTTTCCTTTTTATCTGGATGCCTTTAACTTTTAATTATTTGCCTTATTGCACCAGCTGCAATCTCCAGTACAATGTTAAATAGAAGTGTTGGATTGGACATCCTTGCATTGATCTCCATCTTAGGAGAAAAGCATTCAGTCTTTCTTCAGCAAGCATGATTTTAGTTGTGGGTTTTTTATAGATGCCCTTTATCAGGGTGAGGAAGGTCCCCTCCATTCCTATTTTGTTGAAACTTATGAACATGAGTGGTGTTAACATTTTTGTCAACTGTTTCTTCTGTATCTTTTGAGATAATTATGTCTTTTATTCCCTTACTACAGTGCATTCCATTAATTGATTTCTAATTGTTAATCCAGCCATATATTCCTGGGATGAATCCCATTGGTCATGGAATGTAATCCTTTTTTACGTGGCTTTCTATTGTCTGCCAATGTTTGTTAAGGATGTTTTCATTTATGTTTATTGGTGACACTGGTCTATGGTATTCTTTTCTTGTCAGTCTTGCTCTGACTTTGATATTAGGGTAATGTCAGTTCTGTAAATGAGCTAGAAAGTCTTGCCTCCTCTCTTCTTGTCTGAAAGAGCTTTTGAAATATTTGATAGAATTCACCAGTGAAGATATCTGGGCTTTGGCATTTCTTTGTGAGAAGGTTTTAAAATTACTGTCTTAGTGTACAGTTCTCTTCAGATTTTCTATCTATTTTTGAGTCAGTTTCAGCAATTTCTATCTTTGTATAAATCTGTCCATTTTATCTAAGTGGTCTAACTGATTGGCTTCAGGTTTTTCAGAGTATTAACTTATAATGATTTTTAACTTCTAAAGGGTCATTAGTGATACTCTCTCTTGTGTTCACAATTTTGGTAATTTATCTCATTTCTCGTACTGTCTGTTTTGACTTTTGGTCAAGAAAACAGACAGAGGCAGCTCTGTGACAGATTCTGTAGTGGGAAGCTTTGATCATTCATAGCTGGCAAGCCAGACTAATGCCAGCAACCCCAAAGGAGCTGCCAATGGATCTTGACAGGGAAGTCACTGACTCTGGATTGGGCTATGTTCAACCAGGGGTAGATGTCAATGCTTCAAGGGCTATACAAGAACCAGAAAAATGGAGATTACACCAATTTGGACTGTTGAGTCACATTTCTTTACACAAGAAAACACACTTTACAGCCTTAAAAAGCCAACAATGCACAGGGAAATGTACTATTCAGGGGAAACTTTGATAGAATATTGAAATGGCTGACCAGGCGCGGTGGCTCATGCCTGTAATCCCAGCACTTTGGGTGGCCGAGGCGGGCGGATCACCTGAGTTTAGGAGTTTGAGACTATCCTGACCAATATGGTGAAACCCCGTCTCTACTGAAAATACAAAAATTAGCTGCGTGTGGTGGTGGGCGCCTGTATTACCAGCTACTTGGGAGGTTGAGACAGTAGAATTGCTTGAACCTGGGAGGCAGAGGTTGCATGAGCCGAGATCATACTACTGCACTCCAGCCTGGGCGACAGAGTGAGACTCCATCTCAAAAAAAAAAAAAAAAAGAAATAGTCAGTTGAAACATTGGTTGTCTAATTGTCTAAAAACTGCCAATATAATTGTTGGGCAATATAAACATGAAGGACTGGCTTTTATATCTTCATGAATGTGCTTACTGTCAACATGGGTGGAGCTGCGAAACTGACTCCACTAGGTAGCTTCCTCTCTTTTTCCTGATGGATCAGGGTGATGCTGTTATGACTGTACATACAATTCTTCTTAAGGGGAGGATGCTGGAATAATGACTACACTTCATTTCTTATTTCTTTTTTTACACAGGGTGCAGTGGTACCAGGAACAGGGATGCAAATCGAACTGCCAGAAACAGGAATTATCCCTAAGGAAAAAACCATAACTATATTTTTATACCTTTATGTAAGAATTCCCAAGCAAATCAAGGATTGCGCTGTGCCTTCATTTCATCTGGCAAAGTCGGGATTAACTGTAAGTAGAGCTACGTAGACTGGTGGTCAGATAGCCTGCACTAGTTCCTAACCTATGTAACCTACCGTCTATGATCAAGAGTAGATTAAGAGAAGACATGGTAGAATACTGTTGCTGCATGCAGTCTAGGCCAGCACAGCAGCCAAACCTAATGTCACTTCTAGAACTGGAAAAGACTGATATAAAGGGACAGAAGGAGGAATAGTGGCTGAGGGTAGGTGAATAAATCAAAGGGTTATGTAATGAGGAAAATTCAATATTAGCTTATCTCCTCAAAAGTGGTGTGAGCAAGAGATGTTGTCTCTTAGGTCAACTATACTGGATGCCTAAAAGGGTGAAGCTGTGTGTCCCTGAGACCATTCTTGTTTTTGGAACCTGTTAAGATTGAGTGGTGTCTGCAAAGCTGAGTGATGTCATTCTGGGAGACATATTCATACAAGAGGATGATAAACTGGCCTAATTTTGAATGACCGAATGAGACTTGGATAATATGCCAATGCTTCTTTACTGTTATAATCCTTTTCGTATGAAAAATATGTGGTCAAAGAAAAGGGGATAATATGAGTTATCACAAAAACATTTAGTCTTGTCCCTGGTTTCTCCTAAAAACCTTAGAATCTCTTGAGTGATTAGAGTGTCTTTAGAATACTGAGGAAAGGACTCTTGGCTGAGTGGATCCTGGATACCTTGAGAATGGGGGCTGGCTGCCACAGACACATACCTATGATGAGAGGGTTGTCTTATTCCGTTTTGTGTTGCTATAAAGAAATGTCTGAGACTGACTAATTTATATAAACAAGGTTCATTTGGCTCAGGATTCTGATGTCTGGAAATGTTTGAGCATTTAGCGAGGGCCTCAGGCTGCTTCCACTCATGGCAGAAGGCAAAGGGGAGCTGGTATGTGCAGAAGTCACGTGGTAAGAGAGGAACAGAGGGAGTAGGAAGGTGCGAGACTCTTTTAACAACTAGCTCTTTTGGAAACTAATAGGGCAACAATTCATTGACTCCCGAGAGAGGGCAGTATCTCTCTGTTCATAAAAGATTGGCCCCCAAGACCCAAACGCCACCCATTAGGCCCTAAGTCCAACATTGGGGATCAGATTTTAACATGAGGTATCTGGGGATAAATATTTATATCATTGCATCCTGTCCCTAGCCAGCCAAAGCTCACATTCTTCTCACATTGCAAAAGACAATAATCTTCTCCCAATTGTCCAAAATGTGTTGGGTTGATCCAGCATCAACTCTAAATTCCAAAGTCTCATCTGAGACTCAAGGTAAGTTCTTATAGCTGTGCACCTGTAAAATTAAAAAAAGTTATTTACTTCTAAAATATTAATACAACAGTGGTAGAGACATTTCCTATACATTTCCATTCCAAAAGAAATAAATGGGCCAAAAGAAATGAATGCAGTGTCCTCACAAGGTTGAAACTCATCATGGCAGACATTAAAACTTAAAGCTCTAAAATAATCTCCTTTGACTCTATATCTTGAACCCTGAGCACACTGGCTGCTGCAAGCAATGGACTCACAATGCCATCTTCAGCCTCATATCCGTGGCTTTGGTGAACATAATCCATATAGCTGCTCTCATGGGTGAACATTGAATGCTTATGGCTTTTCCAGGCTGAGCTTGCATATTGCCAGTGGCTCTATGATTTAGTAGTTTTGGCAGGGGTCCTGTTCCTGCAGCTCCACTAGGAATTGTCCTGGATATTAAATTTCCCCTTTAAATATCAGTTCCAGTTTCAGGTCATGTCTTTGCTCACACATATGTGCATAGGCTATTACAAGCAGGCAGGCCAAATCTGGAATGCTATGCTGCTTAGAAATTTCTTCCACCAGATACCCTTATACATCACTCTCAAGTTCAAAGTTCTACAGATCCCTAGGGAGGGGGAACAATGCCTCCAAGTTCTTTGCCAATGCATAACAAAAGTGACCTTTCCTCTAGGTCCCAATAAGTTCCTCATCTCCATGTGAGACCTTATCAGCCTGGACTCCATTGTCCATATCACTATCAGCATTTTGGTCACAACAGCTTAACAAATCTCTAGGAAGTTGCAAATTTTCCCCCATTTTCTTGTCTTCTGAACTCTCCAAACTCTTCCAACCTCTGCCTGTTACCCAGTTCCAAAGCCGTTTCCACATTTTCAACAATTTTTATAGTAATACCCAACTCCCGGTACCGATTTTCTGAATTAGTTCATTCTCACACTTTTATAAAGAAATACCTGAGACTGGGTAATTTATAAACAAAATAGGTTTCTTTCTTTCTCCTCCCACCATCCAAGATGCCAAAAGGAAAGAAGGCCAAGGAGAAGAAGGTGGCTCCAGCCCCTGCTGTCGTGAAGAAGCAGGAGGCCAAGAAAGTGGTAAATCCCTTGTTTGAGAAAAGGCCTAAGAATCTTGGCACTGGACAGGATATCCAGCCCAAAAGACACCTCACCCACTTTGTGAAATGGCCCTGCTATATCAGGTTGCAGCAGCAGAGAACCATCCTCTATAAGTGGCTGAAAGTGCCTCCTGAGATTAACCAGTTCACCCAGGCACCAGACAGCCAAACAGCTACTCTGCTGCTTAAGCTGGCCCACAATACAGACCAGAGACAAACCAAGAGAAGAAGCAGAGGCTGTTGGCCTGGGCCAAGAAGAAAGCTGCTGGCAAAGGGGACATTCCCCACTAAGAGTCCACCTGTCCTTCGAGCAGGAGTTAACACCATCACCACCTTGGTGGAGAACAAGAAAGCTCAGCTGGTGGTGATTGCACATGATGTAGATCCCATCAAGCTGGTTGTCTTCTTGCCTGTCCTGTGTCATAAAATGGGGTCCCTTACTGCATTATCAAAGGGAAGGCAAGACTGGGACATCTAGTCCATAGGAAGACCTGCACCACTGTCACCTTCACACAGGTTAACTCGGAAGACAAAGGTGCTTTGGCTAAGCTGGTGGAAGTTCTCAGGACCAATTACAATGACAGATATGATGAGATCCGCCGTCACTGGGGAGACAGTGTCCTGGGTCTCAAGTATGTGGTTTGCATTGCCAAGCTCAAAAAGGCAAAGGGTAAAGAACATGCCACTAAATTGGGTGAAATGTATGCTGTTGAGTTTTCTGTATGTAAAAATAATTAAAATAATATAAATTTTCCTTCAAAAAACAAAAACAAAACAAAAACAGAAAAGAGGTTTAAATTGGGTCATGGTTCTGCAGGCTATACAGAAAGTATGATTCTGGCATCTGCTCATCTTATGAGAGGGCCTCAGGGAACTTTCGATTATGCTGGAAGGCTAAGGGGAAGCAGACATTACTTACATGCCTGGAGCAGGAGGGAGAGAGAGCAGGGAGGTGACACAGATTTTTAAACACCAGATCTTATGAGAATTATCACAAGAATAGCACCAAAGAGATGGTTCTAAACCGTTCATGAAGGATCCATCCTCATGAGCCGATCACCTGCCACCAGACACCACCTCCAAAATTAGGGATTACAATTGAACATGAGATTTGTGTGGGGACACAGATCCAAACAATATCAGGGGTCATGGTGGACATGAGGATGGGCTGGTCTCCCATTTCTTACCTGTTACTGTAGACATAGACACATTCAGATGCTTTGGCAGAAAGAGAAGCCAGAGGCCCTTAATGTCACAAAGAGGAGGCATGAACAAATCTTGCATCTCAGTCCCTCACAAGGCAATCTTAGAAAAAACATAGTCATAAACTAATCCAGGTCAGTCACAGTAAGTTGTGACACTGAACAGCCCACCACACCTTGAAAAATTCCAAATCAAAGAATCTCCAGAGCTTAGTTGTGTCCCCTCTGCCCAACTCCTCTTTCACTTCAGGCCCTCTAAGGTGTCACTTTTACAAGCCGTGAGAGACACATCAGAGCCCTGGGTACTGTTCCTGTTTGGGGTGGAACAAAAACAAAATCTGGTCAGAGCCCACAGGTGATGTGACTAAAGGAGGAATTTTGGGGTGGCTGAGCTCCCCCATGGGCTCCTGTCTACACTATCCCAAGGATCTCAGGGATCACTCTTCCCACCCCTACCACACTTACATGAAGCCTGAGCATAACTGCCTCCTTTTCCATCTGTGGAAAGAAAACAAACTGTGAGAGGCCAGGGAGGAGGCAGGGCATGAGATCCTAGAGAAGTTTCCAGAACTGTGACTACAGACCCAGGTCAGGATCAGAAAACCCAAGGGAAGAGGATGTGTTGAGGCTGGACCAGTTGTCCTCCTGAGGTCTGTCCTCAGCAGGGACCTTCCCCTGACCTGTGACTGCTGGGAGTCAGGTTCCCATGACCACAATCAAGGTGATAAATTTGTCCTTCATTTTCACAGGTGCTTTACAAAAGAGTAAGTGTTGATAGACAGGGCCTCTGAACAGGGTAAATGTGTGTGGAGATGGTGCCTCACAACTAGGCAAGATATGAGCCAACTCCTACCTGGGGCTTGAAATCCACCAATGGAAGAAGGAAACTCAGAGCTCACCCCTTTCCTACCTGGGATCTTATTCCTCCACATCACAGCAGCGACCACAGCTACAGTGAATACAGCAACGAGAAGAACCAGGCCAGCAATGATGCCCACAACGGGGATGATGGGCTGGGAAGACAGCTCTAAGAAAGGAGGTGAACGTGAGGGGCCCTGACCCCCAGGCCTCAGCCCTGACCCTGCTTAAAGGCTCCAGAAGGACTTCTGCTTTGCCTGAGAAGAGACATGACCTCTCATTCGTCTCCTTACCCCATCTTAGTGTGAGGGGCTCAGGCAACCCCTCATGCTGCACATGGCATGTGTACCTCTGCTTCTCTCCAGAAGACACCACTGCAGCTGCCCACTTCTGGAAGGTTCTGTACCCTGCAAGTCTGGTCTCCACAAACTCTGCATCCTGAATTTGGTCCTCCCCATCCCGCTCCTGGGTCAGTGTGATCTCCAGAGGGTAGAAGCCCAGGGCCCAGCACCTCAGCGTGGCCTCATAGTTGGAGATGGGGTGGTGGGTTACCTGTGCCTTCAGGGGATCTGAGGGCAAGAGGTAGAAAATTCAGGCACTTTGCATTCCTCATGAGACACAGCACCCATGTGACCATCCTGAGAATGGACGGGACACCTGGGGTGGGGAAGGGAGCACAGAACCCAGACAGCATTCTGGACACAGGCACCTGGGATAATCTCTTATTCCTTGGAAAGTTCTAGTGTCTGAGGCGGAAACAGAGATTTCTGGTCCTGACCTGAGTGGAGGCCGAGGGACTCAGAAGAGCTGGAATCAGACCCCCACACGCATTGAGTATGAGGCAGAGAACAAGGCCTGAGAGGAAAATTCCTGGTGCCCAAGGCTGCTGGGGGGTCAAAGGGGACCGCGTATCAGTATTCCAGGGATTGTCTTCCCCTCCTTTCCCGCAGAGACTTCATCCGTTAATTGTCCCAGAGTGCAGGGCGGGCCCTCAGTCACTCTCTGGTATAGGATTTAGAAACCCAGGAGGACTCTTCTGCCTCAGGACAAGAGGGAGAGGGATATTTTAGCGTTGGTCCCATTTTCCTCCCTTCTTTTGGAAGGTGGCTCAGGGATATCTGCAGGAGATCAGGGAAGCGCCCCGTGGCCTCTGGTACCTGCGCATTGCAGACTCTCCTCATTCTTAAGGCCTTTGCTGAGCCACTCCGCCCACCTTCCGGGCAGGTAGGTTTTGAGCAGCTCTGCATGTTCCTCCTCCAAAACATCTGAGCCGCCTTGTCCGCTGCGGTCCAAGAGAGCAGTTCCTGGTTTAGGACGAGGTAACTGGCGCCATCGTAGGGTATGTTCATCCCCGCGCGAAGAGGCTCCGGTCCGGGTCCAGGTCGCAGCTGTGTATCCACTGGAGGTGGGAGACCCTGTCCCCAAGCCCGCGGTCAGCCTCAGCCACTGAGCCTCAGCCACTGAGCTCCTCCTCTGCCCCGATCAATCCCCCGGGGATTTGGGCCTGAACTGAAAATGGAATCGGGTATAGGCACCTGGGGTTCTTGTGTCGAGGGTCTCCACGAGTCTCGCAGCCTCGGGGTGGGTCTCCGATTGTGCTACAGTGGGTAGCACAATCTTGGTAGCCCCTGAATGGTCACGAATCTAATTTGTAAAAGAGATGATTTTTGGCCCCACTATATATAAATATGTCTAAACGCATTGCAATTAGACTCACAAAGTGAAGTTTTACTTTCCTAGACTGTGTATCTGTGACTCTGGTCTGTTGTATTTTTACAGTATCTTTATTTCATAGCTCTGAGTTTGTGTGTGCGAGTCCAGGACATCTCAATACAAAGCACAATGTATTACCGTATATTGCAACCAGGAGCCTGTACAGAATTTAATTACCTCAGAATTGCAAGTGCTTAATGCAGCCAAAGTGCCCTTCGCCAGTGCTCATGCACTCCCTTTATTATTAATTTTTTTATTTTTTATTTATTTACAGACAGGGCGTCACTCTGTTACCCTGGCTAAAGTGCAGTGGCACGCTCATGACTCACTGAAGCCTCTACCTCCTTGGCTCATGTGATCAATGCTCCTCCCTCAGCCTCCCAAGTAGCTGGCACCACAGGCTTGTGCCACCACTCCTGGCTAATTTTTCTAAAAATAATATTTGTAGAGATGAGGTCTCCCTAAATTGCTCTGGCTGGTCTTGAACTCCTGGGCTCAAGCAATCCTCCCGCCTCAACCTCCCAAAATGCTGGTATTACAGGCATGAGCTATAATGGCCGGCCCATGCACTTGCCTATTATTATGAATTATTCACATCTAAGCTATGTGTATATTTTATTGAGACATTTGGTATTCTTTTTTAACCTTTTTTTTTTTTTTTGAGACGGAGTCTCGCTCTGTCGCCCAGGCTGGAGTGGTGCAATCTCGCTCACTGCAAGCATCGCCTCCCGGGTTCACGCCGTTCTCCTGCCTCAGCCTCCCAAGTAGCTGGGACTACAGGCGACCGCCACCACGCCCGGCTAATTTTTTTTGTAATTTTTTATTAGAGACGGGGTTTCACCATGTTGGCCAGGATGGTCTCGATCTCCTGACCTTGTGATCCACGCGCCTCGGCCTCCCAAAGTGCTGGGATTACAGGCGTGAGCCACCGTGCCCGGCCTTTTTTAACCTTTTTATCTTAGAGAGGCAATTAGGTTTTAGACAGCCCCACAGAATGCATTAAAGACCAAGGTGCAAGTAACACTGTGCCAGGCTTTGCGGATAAATGCATTAAAAATCTATAAAACACTGTATTTAAGTCTGAGAATTCCATTGCTTTAGAATTCTTTCTGTTCCTTTACCTCACCTCCTGCTTCTCCAGCCCTTCTCTCTGTTCCTGTCATCCTTCAGGCCCTCCTCTCCCCTTAGTCTCTACTACTCTGTCACTACTGAATTGTGGCCCTAGCTCTGTCCCTGGCCCTAGCTCTGTCCCTTGCCTGCTGCCCATGACTGTTCTCCCCACAAAGGTCAGCAATCCTGCTAATGTGAGTCAGATTGTTTCATTTCTTCACTTAAAAGCCTCTAATGGCTCCATCTTACTCTCAAGAAGCCTCTAGAATGGAAGGCACAAGCACAGGGGCTTTGGGTTGTTTTGATCAAAGTTGTATCTACAGAATATAAAAGTATATCTGCCACATAGTAGGCACTAAGTTAATTTTTGTTGAATGAATGAATGAAATATAATTGTGTTCAAAATTGTATCACACAAAAATCATGAAATGGAAAATGCAAAGCAAGTTAGGAAATATTTGGTTTTATGCAACTACTATGCATATCAGTTCATGAATTCATTCCGGTGGAGAAAATGTCATATACTTATCCTTTGAATCTGTTTATTTATTTCCTGGCAGTACATAACCAATTACCACAAACTTAGTGGCTGAAAACAGCACCCATTTATTTGTCTACATTTCCTTCATCAGAAATCCAGGCCTAACGTGATAGACTCTTTGTTCAGAGTTTCGCAAAGTTGTATCCTCATCTTAAGATTGGGGTTCTCCCCCAAGCTTGTGTAGAGTTTGTTGGCAGAATTCGGTTTCTGGCAATTGTAGGATTAAGGTCCCTGTTTCCTTCGGGCTATCAGAGTAGACAGTGGGGAGGGCTTCTAATTCCTATTGGCCACCAGTGTTCTTTCCCCATGATCCCTCCATTTTCAAAGCCCAAAGTGGAGGAAGCCCCTCACGCTGAATCCCTCTCACACTGTGAGTCTCTATTCTCAGGAAGAACCCAATCCTTTTCAGAGCTTACCTGATTAGGACCGTCTAAGCAGGATAATCCTCATCTTAAAGTCAACTGACTGGGGACTTTAAATATATCTGCAAAACCTCTTCACAGCAGCACCTGCTTTAGTGTCAACTGAGTAACTGGGGTAACCTGAGTAACCAAGGGTGGTTATTGGGGTGTCATCATAGAATCAGCCTAGCATAGCCTGGATCTTCCTTTCATGTTTAAATAGAACATACAAGTTGAAGATCAAAAAATAGATCATTGTTAATGATAATAAAATATATCTTATATAGCCATGGAAATTTTTATTAAATATTAAAAGCAAATGACATGTTTAATATCTTATAATGAATTTAGAGCAAATGAAAAAGTTCAGTGATTCATCCTCTCTTGTGAAGCTGTATTAGTTATCTACTGCTGCATAACAAGTCACCTACAACTTAGCAGCTCAAATCAACAAATATTTATCATCTCCCACAGTTATCCATGGTCAGGAATCCAGGAGAAGTTTCTCTGAATGCTTCTGGCTCAGGGCCTCTCACAACGTTGCAGTCTAGTTGTCTTCCAGGGCTGAATCACCTGAGGGCTCAAATGGGGCCAGGGATTCACAAGACACAAGAATCTCTCACATGGCTTTTGGAAGAGGCTTTAGCTTCTTATTGTCTGGTCCCAGGAGGACTCACTTCCTAGTCACATGGACCACAGGCCTCCTTATGACACAACAGCCAGCTTCCCCCAGGGCTCATGATTCCAGAGAAAGAAAGAACCAAAGTAGAAACTTCAGTGAGTCTTATGTTCTACACCCAGAATCACAAACTATTAAGTCAGCATTACTCTATCAGTTAGAAGTGAGTCATTAAGTCCAGGCTACACGAACAGGGAGGGAATGAAGCTGCACTTCTGGAAAGGAGGAGTATCAAAGAATTTATAAACATGTTAAAAGCAAAATTAACATTATTGTTTCAGGGTTTTGTAAATCAAATACTTCTTGTATCTGACTTTTTTTAATACTTTAAAATTCTCTTCTGTAAAGTTGATTAAATATTTGAGACAGAGAAAGAAGATACAACAATATCTCAGATTTTTTTTGTAAATGCCTTTAATATTAATGTTCTCTTTGATAAGTTGCAACAGAGTTGAGAAAATACAGTAGCTAAATTAAAGTGTCCCAAGACTTTGGTGCCATACAATAATGCCTTTACAATCGTAACTATGTTTGTTTCTCTTCAGAAGTTTCTAATTCGGTTTAAGAATGCCCAAAATGCCAATTTTCTTACTCAAGCATCTACAAAAATATTTGCCTAATCAGGGTGCTTTGCAGCTAGAAAAATGTGAATCTCACACCTCTGTCTATACACTAGCTTAGCATCATGACAATAATTTGTTTGGCTAGGGTAAGCAGAAATTGTTTACTCCAATCTAGGAACAAGATTTTTCAATAACTGGCTATTCAGTGGGCATCCTATGAAAGTTTAACATCTTTCACTGTGTTTTTAAATTAGATGTAGTAGAAGTGATTTGGACTCCAGTATGATTCTGAAAAACACTGTTCTTTTGTGCTGCTATCATTGCTGTACAAGCATCTCTTTCATGTTTTCCATTCTTATTGCTATTTCATCACTAGTTATTCCTTTATGTCTTTTCATTTAATTTATTTTGCTCAACAATGCTTTTTTTTTTACTGTGTAAAAGTTTAATCCACTTGTATGTGTGGTAAAATGTGAGCAACATATCAAATTCTCAAATTCTTTGCAAGATACAATTGCCTTGCACATCAGATTGAACACTGTATGCCAGACAATGTAGAGAGTTGCCAATTAGCCCAGGGTCAAATGACCTCTTTCTAGCCAAGGCTATTTTTCATGAGATCCTGGTCCTCTCTGTCACATGACTCTTTACAATTGGCTGTGGCTTTGTTTTAACGTGTGTAGTTATTGCTAAGGATCCTTGAGATGAACTTTGGTATTTTCTTTTCTCTTTCATTTCCAAATAATCAGTCAGGAATGGCACACAAGGTGCATTTTGAAAAATGACACTTTAAAGATTTGTGGGCCGGGAATGGTGGCTCATGTCTGTAATCCCAGCACTTTGGAAGGCCGAAGTTGGTGGATCACCTGAGGTCAGGAGTTTGAGACCAACCTGGACAATATGGTGAAACCCCGTCTCTACTAAAAATACAAAAATTACCTGGGTGTCGTGGTGGATGCCTATAATTCCAGCTACTCAGGAGGCTGAGGTAGGAGAATTGCTTGAACCTGGGAGGCGGAGGTTGCAGTGAACTGAGATCACGCCACTGCACTCCAGCCTGGGCAACAAGAGGGAGACTCCATCTCGAAAATAAATAAATAAATAAATAAATAAAGATTTATGATCAAGTAACTTAACTACCTGGACATCCCCTCCTGGCATAAAAAACAAAACCTATGAAGCCACCCTCGGCTGTTGTCCAATTCTATTCCCCAAAAGGAACTTCTATCTTGAGTCTTGTATTTACTATTCCTTTTCATTGTCTCTAAAGATTTTTACAATAAGTATATATATATCCAAATCACAGTTTGACCTGCTTTTTTAAACTTCCCCGTACAGAGAACTCACACAATGTGCATTCTTCTGTGATGCTGATGCATGTTATGTGTAGGAGAGTTATCTCTGATGTGGGAGGGTGCTGTTCATTCACTGTTGCTGCTGAAGTTTTACTTTTTATTATTATACGACAATTTTGTTAATTCCCATTGATGTATATGTGATTGTTTCTAGTTTTTGCCATAAACATTGGTGTACATGTCTCCTGGACACATAGCCAAGAATGTCCCCAGGGGGTATGATCAGGAGGCAGATGGTGGGATTATATGATGTATGGACATTAATCATACTAGATAAGGCTAATTTGATTTCTCAAGTGCTTGTACCAAGAATGGGAAAGAGCTTGTGTTGCTCATGTGTTCTGAAAACATTCAGTTGGAGACAGAAATTAAATGTTAAAAGGTACTGTCTTGGCTATAGAATCACCCTAGGCATTTTTTCATATTCCATTAACAACTTCCTTTTCTTTACTTTTATATTATAAATTACGGCATTATACTTTTAGCATAAAGTTCAAATAATGCTTCCTTTTGGCCTAAACACTTGGAGTTTATGAAAAAAAATGGAGGGAGGGAGAAAGCTCTGAGGGAGGAAAGGAGGAAAGAAGGAAGGAAGGACAGAGAAAGACAAAATTTGAAAATGTTCAAAAATAGGAGGAAAGAGTTGGAAACAGCAAGTATAGCTAATGTTATTAAAATGCAAGGGATTAAAAGATATGTAGATAATATCCATGGAAAATGGAAACTTAAGAAAGCCTTAATAGTTATCTAGTGCTGTGTCACAAACTACCTCAAAATTTAGTAGCTTAATAGAACAAATATCTGTTAACTCAAAGAGATACTACACACACAAGTAAAATAGATTCTGTGGGGGTGGCAGAAGTTGGATAAAGAGAAGGATTTTACAGGTTGGAATAAGAGTTATTGATATGCAGATGGAAATAATTTTTAGTCCAAGTCCTTCAAGGAGCAGATGCCAAGATGAGCTTAAAGTCTGCGACATCTTATGAGGGGACACACCCGTAAGGGAATATGGGAAGTGAGCCAGAAATCCCTGGAAAAGGCGGCAGACCACGATGCAAGTGTGACCCCAAGTGCTGGACAGAAGGAGAGAAAGTTTGTTCGACGCATCCTAGAGCACAGGCAATCTAAGGAGAGTTGAGCAAGGCCGTGGAGGAGCCTTCCAGCTACAGTTGGCCATCAGAGGAGTCCCGTGTCTCCCAGGAATGGCTTGCCTTAACGCCTGCTGTGACCAGTCACTGGCTGGGAACAGCCCATGGGAAGCAGGGCTTTGCACCAATCCTGCTGAGGATGTCAGAGCACAGGAGCACAGCCTTGGGACATTACCTATGAGTATCGCTCAATCCTTCCTTCCTGAGGGTTCTGGGCTCTTGAATATGAAACCCTCTCAGGCTGGGTTGCTGGATGATTCTGCTCACACTTACAACAGGACAAGGGGAACCATAAGGTCTCCAAGTGGATCTCTTATTTCCACACACACATCTCCTGCCCTCCTTGTGTGATAGCAGCCCTGCCTCCTCCTCTTCTCACCTTCTTGTGTCTGGACACATACTATTCAAACATCCCTGGGGGCAGCCATAAGGTGTAGTTCCATGGACTCTCATTTAAATGTCTCCTTGCCAGGGTGCCCCCTTTGGGAAACCAGGACCTCCTCCCCTACAGAGCCCAGATATTGGAGATGAGAAGTGCAAAATCACCCTGAAGGTGAATATAAGGGTTTAGATATGGAGCCACACCTGCTTCTACTTCTTGGTTTTTGGACCCACGTATTCTTCCTTCTGTAAACACAGCACTATAGAGACATCTTTGATTCAATACATGCACCACATCCTGAAAGATGGCAGCCATTCCTCAGAGGGTTTCATCCAAGCTGGCACTAAGTTGTGTCTGTAGAGACCTGTCCATGACTCTGTGTGGCTGGCAGCCCCTGGGAGGTGCAGGTGGTGATAAGACCAGGGGATTCCATGGTCATCATGGCCCACGCTTCATCCCCTTCCCTCTGAGGTGTGTCCCGCGGGCAGATAATGTACTGAAATTCTGAGCCAGTGGCTCAGGAATGCCAATAGTGATACTGGCTGAGGGTCTAAGAGTAGAGAGGAAAACCACACCACATCTAATAGGTGCCTATCCCTGTGAGGATGAACCTCCGCCCCCCGGGCCGCCTCCCACTTGAGCTGGGTGATCTGAGCCGCCGTGTCTGCGGCTGTCAAGGAGCACAGGTCCTCGTTCAGGACGATGGAATCCTTGCCATCGTAAGCAAGCTGGTGATACCCGCGGAGTAGGCGCCCGTCCGACCCCACGTCGCAGACAGACATCCTCTAGATGGGTGTGAGACCCTGGCCCCGCCCCCGCGGCCAGCCCCGCCCACCGAGCCCCGCCCCCGCCAGGACCAACCTGCGGGGATTTTGGCTGAAAATGAAACCGGGTAACGGCTCCTGGGCCTCTCCCGGGTAAAGGGTCTCCAGGTTCCGCTGCCTCGGCGTGGATCTCGGACCCAGAGACTCGGGGAGACCCGGGCGGTCCGTGGGGGATGTAGAGGGGTAGTGATCTGCGCCCCCGGCCGGTGTCACTCACAGGCCTCACTCTGGTTGTAGTAGCCGCTCAGGGTCCGCAGGTTCACTCGGTAAAACTGTGCTTTGGCCTTGGCGGTCCCTGTCTCCTCTTCCCAATATTCCGGCCCCTCCGGCTCCATCCTGGGACTCGTGGCGTCGCTGTCGAGCCGCACGCACTGCGTGTCGTCCACGTCGCCCACGGAGAGGAAGCGGGGATCCGCGCGGCCGGGCCGGGACATGGTGGTGTGGAAATACCTCAAGGAGTGGAAGCCTGGGAGCAAGGAGGGGGCTGAGACTCTCCCGACCCTCCTCCCGGCACCGCAACCGGGTTCCTGCGCCCCCGCCGGGCAGGCCCCTAGCTACTCCCCACAGAGGCCGTTTCCCTCCCGACCCCGCACTCACCTGCCCAGGTCTGGGTCAGGACCAGGGCCCCCGAGAGCAGCAGAAGCAGGGTTCGGGGCGCCATGACACCATCCTCGGCGACTGGGGAGAATCGGAGTCCCGGTGGGTGCGTGGGAACTTTAGAACCGGGACCGCGGCTACATTGATTGGCTTCTCTAGGAACCCGACACTCAATGGGAGTGAGAACTGGGGCAGCCTGGTGAGTATCCAGGAAGAAGGACCCGACACAGGTTGGGAGAGGGAGAAGAGAAACCCTGCGGAGATGGGGAATCCCCAGCGCTGGGCCTCCCCAATCCATACACCGCCTTTGGGGCCTGAGATCCTGAGAGCCATGCCTGAGGCCCTGGGACTTCGCCCTGACCCCGCTACTTCTGTGCCAAGCGCTCTGTCTCAACGTTTCCGAGTCTTGGCCCAGGAGCTGTCTGAGAAACCAGGGAGAAACCCTCGAAATGGGCCCCGTTCCTCTCTCTTCACTTTGCATCACGGAATCCCCGTCCCAGAACTGGACTCCCTGCCTCCTACTCCTTACCTGTCCCCGTGGACTCTTCTAGAAGAAAAATCACTCCAGGGAGCTTGTTGCCAGAGAGTGAGCTTGCCCTGGGAATGGAGGTGTAGAGACAGGGTTTTTTGTTGTTATTGTTTGTTTGTTTTTTAAATCTGGAAAAGTTGTGCCTGAGTGCATGAGATAGAATAGAGACCAGTTTGCTTTTTGTTTATTAACTACAGTGGGTAGCAGAATCTTGGTAACTCCTAATGATCAGGAATCTAATTGGCCAAAAATGTGACTTTGGTCCCTTGACATATAAATGTGTCTAAAAGCATTACAACAGGAATCACAAAGCTCCTAAGTTTCACTTTCCCAGACAATGTATCTGTGACTCCCGCTTGTAGTATTTTAAATTTACCTTCATTCCATAGCCCTGAGTTTCTGTGTGAGTCCAGGACATCTCCTAATACAAGGTAGCCACTGTGTTACTATATGTTGTAACCAGGAGCCAGTACAGACTTTATTCACCTCACAGTGGCAAGCACTCAATGCAGTCACAATGCCCCTCACCAGTGCTCATGCACTGCCTGTTTTTAGGAAGTATCCACTTCTAAGTGTTGTGTATATTTTATATGAACACTTAGTATTTTTTAAACCTGATTAACATAAAAAAATTAGTTTTTAGGCAGACCCACATAAGGTATTAAAGGCCAACTGCAAAGATCACCCTGCAAGGCTCTGTAGATTGATGTATTAAAATATATAAAACAATGTGTTTAAACCTGAGTTCTGCTGCTTTCGAATTCTTTCCCTCTGCTCCATTTCCTCACCTCCTGCATCTCCAGCCCTTCCCTCCATTCCTCTCATCCCTCAGGCCCTCCTCTCCCCTTAGTCCCCACCACCTTGTCACTCCTTATTTGTGACACTAGCACTGTCCCATTACCTGCTACGTGACTGTTCTCTGCACAGTGGTCCTGCTCCTGTGAGTCAGAGTGTGTCATTTCTCCACCTAAAACATTCCACTGGCTCCACCTTGGTCTTGTGAAGCTTCTGGAATGTCAGGCACGTGAGCATATGAGGGCACACCTGGTTCATTGTAGGGATTAAATTAATTTTTCTTGACTGAATGAATGAAATATGAGTCTATTAAATTGCATCACAGAAAATTATAAAATGTAAAATACTGAAAAAGTTAAAGATTTTATTTTATGTAATTAGTGTGCATATCAATTCATCAATTCATTCGTGCACTACCACGACTGGCAAAACAACACCCATTTATCTGCTTATACTTCCTTGGTCAGAAATCTGGGCAAGATGTGGATAGAATCCCTGTTCTGGGCTTCCAAAAGCTGTGTTTTCATTTTGAATCCTCCTTCAGGCTTATACAGAGGTGGCAGAATGCAGTTTCTGGCAGTTGTAAGACTGAGGTTTCTGTTCCTTGCTGGCTGTCAATACAGAGAATAGGCAGGGCTGTGCTCAATTCCTGGTGCCTAACAGTGTTCTTTCCTACACAGCCTCTTCATTTTCAAAGCCCACGGTAGAGGAAACCCCTCATGCTGAATCCCTCTCACACTGCAAATCTCTATGCTCAGGAAGAACACAGACCTTTCAAGGACTCACCTAATTAGGACAGTCAAAGCAGGATAAACCCAGCCTAAAGTCAACTAATTGAGGCCCTTAGTTATATCTGCTAAATCCCTTCACAGCAGCATCTACACTAGAGTTGCTTGAATAACTGGGGGAAAGTGAATGACCGGGAGGTGGCTGTTGGGGGCCATCAAAGAATCAGCCCAGCAAGGGTTGGATCTTCCTTTTGTGTTTAATTTGGACACAGTTGGAAATTGAAGTTCAAGTAAAGTGATCATTGTGAATGGTAATAAAATGCATCCTCTTCAGCCATGGACATTCTCCTTACCTTTTAAAACTAAGTTACATGTGTAATGTCTTATAATTAATTTAGGCCAGGTGTGGTGGCTCACGCCTGTGATTCTAGCACCGTGGAAGGCAGAGGAAGGCAGATTTGTTGACTCCAGATGTTGAAGATCAGCCTGGGCAACATGGAGAAACCCCCATCTCTACAAAAAAATTTAGAAAATTAGCCAGGCGTGGTGCTTCATGCCTGTAGTCCCAGTTACTCAGGACGCTGAGATAAGAGGGTCCCTTGAGCCCAGGAAGTCGACACTGCAGTGCATGGTGATCATGCCACTGCACTCCAGCCTGGGCGACAGAGCGAGACCCTGTCTCAATAACAATAATATTAATAATAATGATAAATTTAGAGCAAATGCAAATTAATGTGTAATACTACATCCTCTTTTGTGAAAATGTGTTAGTTATTTACTATTGCATAACAAATTATGTAAAACTTAGCAGCTCAAAATGGCAAATATTCATCATCTCCCGCAGGTTCCAATGGTCAGGAATCCAGGAGAGGTTTCCCTGAGTGCTTCTTGCTCAGGGCCTCTCACAAGGTTGCAGTCCAGTTGTCAGCCTAGGCCTGCATCATCTGAGTGCTTCACTGGGACTGAGGATTCACATGAAACATGGATGGGTCACATGGCTGTTGGAAAAGCCCTAGTTCCTTGTTGTCTGTTCCCAGAAGGCCCCAGTTCTCAGCCACATGGACCTTCCTTCAGGGCTGCTTATGGCACAGCAGGTGGCTTCCCCCAGAGCTCATGATTCCAGAGACATTGAGAGAGAAGGGGGAGGCTGCAGTGAGTTTTATGTTCTACACCCAGAGTCACAAACTGTTATGTCAGCATTACCAGTTAGAAGTTGTATTAGTCCGTTCTCACATTGCTATAAAGAAATACCTGAGACTGGGTAATTTATAAAGGAAAGAGGTTTAATTGACTCATAGTTCTGCATTGCTGAGAAGGCTGCCCCATGAAACTTACAATCATGGCAGAAGTGGAAGCAAACACGTCCTTCTTCACATGGTGGCAGGAGAGAGAATTGCAGATCGAAGTGGGGAAAAATACCTCATAAAACCATCAGATCTCATGAGAATTCCCTCAGCATCATAAGAGCAGCATGGGGGTACCATACCCGTGATCCAATCACCTCCCAGGAGGTCCCTCCCCCGATACATAGGGATTACAATTTGCATGACAATTCAAGATGAGAATTTGGTGGGAACTCAGAGCCAGACCATATCAGAAATGCATCATTAAGTCCAAGCCACACTCAAGAGAGGAAATTAAGCAGCATCTCTGGAAGGGAACAGTATTAAAGGATTTGAATATATATTAAAAGCAAATTTAAAACTCTTGTTTCAGGATTTTGAGAATCAAAATTTTTTTATCTAATTATTTTTCGTTAACCCTTTTAGCTTGTCTTTTAATTTAATTTAATTTTAAGTTCCAGGTTATGTGTGCAGGATGCGCAGGTTTGTTACATAGGTAAATGTGTGCCATGGTGGTTTGCTGCACCTATCAAACCATCACCTATGTATTAACCCTGGCATGCATTAGCTATTTTTTCCTAATACTCCTCCCACCACTGCCCTCCCCCAGCAGGCACCAGTGTGTGATGTTCCTCTCCTTGTGTCCATGTGTTCTCATTGCTCATCTCCCAATTATAAGTGAGAACATGTGGTGTTTGGCTTTCTGTTCCTGTGTTAGTTTGCTGAGGATGGCTTCCAGCTTCATCCATATCCCTGCAAAGGACTGAATCTCATTCCTTTTTGTGGCTGCATAATATTCCATGGTGTATATGTACCATATTTTCTTAATGCAGTACATCATTGATGGGCATTTGGGCTGATTCCATGTCTTTGCTATTGTGGATAGTGCTGCAATAAGCATACACATGCATGTATCTTTATAATAGAGTGATTTATTTTCCTTTGGATGTATACCCTGTAATGGGATTGCTGGGTCAAATGGTATTTCTGGTTCTAAATCTTTGAGGAATCACCAAACTGTCTTCCACAATGGTTCAACCAATTTACATTTCCAGCAACAGTGTAAAAGCCTTCCTATTTCTCCACAACCTCGCCAGCATCTGGTGTTTATGTAGTTTTAAATAATTGCCATTCTGACTGGCATTAGATGGTATCTCATTTGTGGTTTTGATTTGCATTTCTGTAATCAGTGATGTTGAGCTTTTTTTCATGTTTTTTTGGCCACATGTACGTCTTATTTTGTGAAATGTCTCTTCATGTCCTTTGTTCACTTTTTAATGAAGTTTTTTTTCATGTAAATTTGCTTAAGTTCTTTATAGATTCTGAATATTAGACCTTTGTAAGATAGATAGATTGCAAAAATTTTCTCCCATTCTGTAGGGTGTCTGTTCACTCTGATAGTTTCTTTTTCTGTGCAGATGCTCTTTTGTTTAATTAGATCCCATATGCCAATTTTTGCTTTTGTGGCAGATGCTTTTGGCGATTTCATCATAAAATCTTTGCCCATGCCTGTGTCCTGAATGGTATTGCCTAGATTTTCTTTCAGGGTTTTTATAATTTTGTGTTTTACATTTAAGTCTTTAATCTATCTTGAGTTAATTTTTGTGTAAGGTGTAAGGAAGAGGTCTAGTTTCAATTTTCTGCATATGGCTAGCCAGTTCTCCCATCACCATTTATTAAATAGGGAATCCTTTCCCCGTTGCTTGTTTTTGTCAGGTTTGTTGAAGATCAAATGGTTGTAGATGTGCGGACTTTTTTTGTGAATTCTCTATTCTGTTCCATTGGTCTATGTGCCTGTTTTTGTACCAGTATCATGCTGTTTTGTTTACTGTAGCCTCACAGTATACTTTTAAGTGGGGTAGTGTGCTGCCTCCAGCTTTGTTCTTTTTGCTTAGTATTCTCTTTGCTATATGAGCTCTTATTGGATCCATATGAATTTTAAAATAGTTTTTTTTTCTAATTCCACGATAAGCTTATCTTTTAAAATTAATGATTAACTGTTTCAGACATCACAGAGCCTTGGGTGCTTAGGAGAAAACAGTTTGAAACAGAGAAAGGATATGCAACAGTAACTCTGAATTTTTCTTGTGAATACCTTTAATAACAATGTTGTTTTCAATTAGTTAACACAGTTGAGAACATAGAGTAACTAGATCAAATAGTTCCAAGACTTCAGTCTGATAAAAATAATGTCTTGAAAATAAGACTTTGTTTTGTCTAAGATATCTCAAATTTAGTGGAAGCACGTCCCAAGCACCAATTTTCTTATTGAAATATCATCTTCACTAAACATTTGCCTACACTTAAAAAAAAAAAACAAAAACTCCACTATATGGAGTAGCCATTCTTTTGTTTCTTTACTTCTCTAATAACTTGCTTTCACTTAGGAAAACATTGCCTAATCAAATTGCTTTTCATTTACAAAAGTGTGAATCTCATACTTCAGTCAACACATCTAGCTTAGCATGATGCCAATAACTTTGGTTTGATGCAGTAGCCTGAAATGGTTAGCTCAAATTGAGAAACAAGTTTTTTTCAAAAGCTAGCTATTTGGTGGGCATTACATAATAAACTTAACATCTTTTGCTCTGGTATTGAATGAGATGTGATAGAAGTCATTTGCACACCACTATGATTCTAAATAACACGGCTATTATGTGCTTCTGAAATTTTTTTTCTTTTTAGCAGTCCTATTCTGTTTTCCATTCATATTTGATATTCCATCACTGGTTATTCCTTCCTATTCTTTTCTTGTTTGATTTATTTTGATCAATTATTTGCATTTCCAATTCCGTAAAAGTTTAATTCAGTTGTATGTGTGGTAGAATGTAACATCAAATCCTTTGCAAGATGGAATTACCTTGCACAGCAGATTGAACATTGTATAACTGAAAATCTAGAGAGATGCCAGTCAGCCAAGGGTTAAATGACCTATTTTTAGCCAAGTCCATTTTCTTGGCATCCTGGTCCTCTCTGTCACATGACTCCTTACAATTCTCTGTGGTTTGCTTCCAATGTAAGTAGTTCTTATTAAGGATCCTTGCAATTAACTTTGGTATTCTTTTCTCTTACATTTTTTTAAAATTATACTTTAAGTTCTATGGTACATGTGCATAACGTGCAGGTTTGTCACATATGTATGCATGTGCCCTGTTGGTTTGCTGCCCTCTTTAACTAGTCATTTACATTAGGTATTTCTCCTAATGCTATCCCTCCCCCATCCCGCCACCCGACGACAGGCCCCAGTGTGTGATGTTCCCCATCCTGTGTCCAAGTGTTCTCATTGTTCAATTCACCTATGAGTGAGAACATGCACTGTTTGATTTTCTGTCTTCGTGATAGTTTGCTCAGAATGATGGTTTCCTGCTTCATCCATGTCACTACAAAGGACATGAACTCATCCTTTTTATGGCTGCATAGTATTCCATGGTGTATATGTGCTGCATTTTCTTAATCTAGTCTATCATTGATGGACATTTGGGTTGGTTCCAATTCTTTGCTATTGTGAATAGTGCCACAATAAACATACATGTGCATGTGTCTTTATAGTAGCATGATTTATAATCCTTTGGGCATATACCCAGTAATGGGATGGCTGGGTCAAATGGTATTTCTAGTTCTAGATCCTTCAGGAATTGCCACACTGTCTTCCACAATGGTTGAACTAGTTTACAGTCCCACCAACAGTGTAAAAGTGTTCCTGTTTCTCCACATCCTCTCCAGCACCTGTTGTTTCCTGACTTTTTAATGATTGCCATTCTAACTGGTGTGAGATGGTATCTCATTGTGGTTTTGATTTGCATTTCTCTGATGGCCAGTGATGATGAGCATTTTTTCATGTGTCTGTTGGCTGCATAAATGTCTTCTTTTGAGAAGTGTCTGTTCATATCCTTTGCCCACTTTTTATGGGGTTGTTTGATGGGTAGACTGCAAAAATTTTCTCCCATTCTGTAGGTTGCCTGTTCACTCTGATGGTAGTTTCTTTTGCTGTGCAGAAGCTTTTTAGTTTAATTCGATCCCATTTGTCTAATTTGGCTTTTGTTGCCATTGCTTTTGGTGTTTTAGTCACGAAATCCTTGCCCATGCTGATTTCCTAAGTGGTATTGCCTAGGTTTTCTTTTGGGTTTTATGGTTTTAGGTCTAACATTGAAGTCTTTAATCCATCTGGAATTAATTTCTGTATAAGTTGTAAGGAAGGGATCCAGTTTCAGCTTTCTACATGTGGCTAGCCAGTTTTCCCAGCACCATTTATTAAGTTTCCCAGCACCTTTCCCTATTGCTTGTTTCTGTCAGGTTTGTCAAAGATCAGATGATTGTAGATGTGTGGTGTTACTTCTGAGGCCTCTGTTCTGTTCCATTGGTCTGTATCTCTGTTTTGGTACCAGTACCATACTGTTTTGGTTACTACAGCCTTGTAGTATAGTTTGAAGTCAGGTAGCGTCATGCCTCCAGCTTTGTTCTTTCGGCTTAGGATTCTCTTGGCAATGTGGTCTCTTTTTTGGTTCCATATGAACTTTAAAGTAGTTTTTTCCAATTCTGTGAAGAAAGTCATTGGTAGCTTGATGGGGATGGCATTGAATCTATAAATTACCTTGGGCAGTGTGGCCATTTTCACGATATGGATTATTCCTATCCATGAACGTGGAATGTTCTTCCATTTGTTTGTATCCTCTTTTATTTCATTGAACAGGTTTGTAGTTCTCCTTGAAGAGGTCCTTCACATCCCTTGTAAGTTGGATTCCTAGGTATTTTATTCTCTTTGTAGCAATTTTGAATAGGAGTTCACTCATGATTTGGCTGTCTGTCTGTTATTGGTGTGTAAGAATGCTTGTGATTTTTGCACATTGATTTTGTATCCTGAGACTTTGCTGAAGTTGCTTATCAGCTTAAGGAGATTTTGGGCTGAGTTGATGGGGTTTTCTAGACATACAATCGTGTCATCTGCAAACAGGGACAATTTTACTTCCTCTTTTCCTAATTGAATACCCTTTATTTCCTTCTCCTGCCTAATTGCCCTGGCCAGAACTTCCAACACTATGTTGAATAGGAGTGATGAGAGAGGGCATCCCTGTCTTGTGCCAGTTTTCAAAGGGAATGCTTCCAGTTTTTGCCCATTCAGTATGATATTGGCTGTGGGTTTGTCATAGATAGCTCTTATTATTTTGAGATACGTCCCATCAATACTTAATTTATTGAGAGTTTTTAGCATGAAGGTTGTTGAATTTTGTCAAAGGCCTTTTTTGCATCTATTGAGATAATCATGTGGTTTTTGTCGTTGGTTCTGTTTAAATGCTGGATTATGTTTATTGATTTTCGTATGTTGAACCAGCCTTGCATCCCAGGGATGAAGCCCACTTGATCATGGTGGATAAGCTTTTTGATGTGCTGCTGGATTCGGTTTGCCAGTATTTTATTGAGGATTTTTGCATCTATGTTCATCAGGGATATTGGTCTAAAATTCTCTTTTTTTGTTGTGTCTCTGCCCGGCTTTGGTATCAGGATGCTGCTGGCCTCATAAAATGAGTTAGGGAGGATTCTCTCTTTTTCTATTGATTGGAATAGTTTCAGAAGGAATGGTACCAGCTCCTCCTTGTACCTCTGGTAGAATTCGGCTGTGAATCCATCTGGTCCTGGACTATTCTTGGTTGGTAAGCTATTAATTATTGCCTCAATTTCAGATCCTGTTATTGGTCTATTCAGAGATTCAACTTCTTCCTGGTTTAGTCTTGGGAGGGTGTATGCGTCGAGGAATTTATCCATTTCTTCTAGATTTTCTAGTTTATTTGCATAGAGGTGTTTATAGTATTCTCTGATGGTAGTTTGTATTTCTGTGGGATTGGTGGTGATATCCCCTTTATCATTTTTATTGCATCTATTTGATTCTTCTCTCTTTATTAGTCTTGCTAGTGGTCTATCAATTTTGTTGGTCTTTTCAAAAAATCAGCTCCTGGATTCATTGATTTTTTGAAGGGTTTTTTGTGTCTCTATCTCCTTCAGTTCTGCTCTGATCTTAGTTATTTCTTGCCTTCTGCTAGCTTTTGAATGTGATTGCTCTTGCTTCTCTAGTTCTTTTAATTGTGATGTTAGGGTGTCGATTTTAGATCTTTCCTGCTTTCTGTTGTGGGCATTTAGTGCTATAAATTTCCCTTTACACACTGCTTTGAATGCATCCCAGAGATTCTGGTATGTTGTGTCTTTGTTCTCGTTAGTTTCAAAGAACCTCTTTATTTCTGCCTTCCTTTCGTTTTGTACCCAGTAGTCATTCAGGAGCAGGTTGTTCAGTTTCCATGTGGTTGAGCAGTTTTGAGTGAGTTTCTTAATCCTGAGTTCTAGTTTGATTGCACTGTGGTCTGAGAGACAGTTTGTTATAATTTCTGTTCTTTTACATTTGCTGAGGAGTGCTTTACTTCCAACTATGTGGTCAGTTTTGGAATAAGTGCGGTGTGGTGCTGAGAAGAATGTATATTCTGTTGATTTGGGGTGGAGAGTTCTGTAGAAGTCTATTAGGTCTGCTTGGTGCAGAGCTGAGTTCAATTCCTGGATATCTTTGTTAACTTTCTGTCTCATTGATCTGTCCGATGTTGACAGTGGGGTGTTAAAGTTTCCCATTACTATTGTGTGGGAGTCTAAGTCTCTTTATATGTCTCTACGGACTTGCTTTATGAATCTGGGTGCTCCTGTATTGGGTGCATATCTATTTAGGATAGTTAGCTCTTCTCATTGAATTGATCCCTTTACCATTATGTATTGGCCTTCTTTGTCTCTTTTGATCTTTGTTGGTTTAAAGTCTGTTTTATCAGAGACTAGGATTGCAACCCCTGCCTTTTTTTGTTTTCCATTTGCTTGGTAGATCTTCCTCCATCCCTTTATTTTGAGCCTATGTGTGTCTCTGCACGTGAGATGGGTTTCCTGAATACAGCACACTGATGGGTCTTGACTCTTTATCCAATTTGCCAGTCTGTGTCTTTTAATTGGAGCATTTAGCCCATTTACATTTAAGGTTAATATTGTTATGTGTGAATTTGATCCTGTCATTATGATGTTAGCTGGTTATTTTGCTCATTAGTTGATGCAGTTTCTTCCTAGCCTCAATGGTCTTTACTATTTGGCATGTTTTTGCAGTGGCTGGTACCAGTTGTTCCTTTCCATGTTTAGTGCTTCCTTCAGGAGCTCTTGTAAGGCAGGCCTGGTGGTGACAAAATCTCTCAGGATTTGCTTGTCTGTAAAGGATTTTATTTCTCCTTCACTTACAAAGCTTAGTTTGGCTGGATTTGAAATTCTGGGCTGAAAATTCTTTTCTTTAAGAAAGTTGAATATTGGCCCCTACTCTCTTCTGCCTTGTAGAGTTTCTGCTGAGAGATCAGCTGTTAGTCTGATGGGTTTCCCTTTGTGGGTAGCCCGACCTTTCTCTCTGTCTTCCCTTAACATTTTTTCCTTAATTTCAACTTTGGTGAATCTGACAATTATGTGTCTTGGAGTTGCTCTTCTTGAGGAGTATCTTTGTTGTGTTCTCTCTATTTCCTGAATTTGAATGTTGGCCTGCCTTGCTAGATTGGGGAAGTTCTCCTGGATAATATCCTGCAGAGTGTTTTCCAACTTGGTTCCATTCTCTCCGTCACTTGCAGGTACACCAATCAGATGCAGATTTGGTCTTTTCACATAGTCCCATATTTCTTGGAGGCTTTGTTCATTTCTTTTTATTCTTTTTTCTCTAAACTTCTCTTCTCACTTCATTTCATTCATTTGATCTTCCATCACTGATAACCTTTCTTCCAGTTGATCGAATCAGCTACTGAAGCTTGTGCATTCATCACTTAGTTCTCGTGCCGTAGTTTTCAGCTCCATCATGTCCTTTAAGGACTTCTCTGCATTGGTTATTCTAGTTAGCCATTCATCTCATCTTTTTTCAAGGTTTTTAACTTCTTTGTCATGGGTTCGAACTTCCTCCTTTAGCTCGGAGAAGTTTGATCGTCTGAAGCCTTCTTCTCTCAACCTATCAGAGTCATTCTCCTTCCAGCTTTGTTCCATTGCTAGTGAGGAGCTACATTCCTTTGGAGGAGGAGAGGCACTCTGATTTTTAGAATTTTCAGTTTTTCTGCTCTGTTTTTTCCCCGTCTTTGTGGATTTATCTACCTTTGGTCTTTGATGATGGTGACGTACAAATGGGGTTTTGGTGTGGATGTCCTTTCTGTTTGTTAGTTTTCCTTCTGACAGTCAGGACCCTCAGCTGCAGGTCTGTTGGAGTTTGCTGGAGGTCCACTACAGACCCTGTTTGCCTGGGTATCAGCAGTGGAGGCTGCAGAACAATGCATATTGGTGAACAGCAAATGTTGCTGCCTGATCTTTCCTCTGGAGGTTTTGTCTCAGAGGAGTACTTGGCCGTGTGACGTGTCAGTCTGCCCCTACTGGGGGGTGCCTCCCAGTCAGGCTACTTGGGAGTCAGGGACCCACTTGAGGAGGCAGTCTGTCTGTTCTCAGGTCTCAAGCTGCATGCGGGAGAACCACTACTGTCTTCAAAGCTGTCAGACAGGGACATTTAAGTCTGTAGAGGTTTCTGCTGCCTTTTGTTTGGCTATGCCCTGCCCCCAGAGGTGGAGTCTACAGAGGCAGGCAGGCCTCCTTGAGCTGTGTGGGCTCCACCCAGTTCGAGCTTCCTGGCCGCTTTGTTTACCTACTCAAGCCTCAGCAATGGCGGGCACCCCTCCCCCAGCCTTGCTGCCACCTTGCAGTTTGATCTCAGACTGCTGTGCTGGCAATGAGCGAGGCTCTGTGGGCGTAGGACCCTCCGAGCCAGGCATGGGATATAATCTCCTGGTGTGCCGTTTGCTAAGACCATAGGAAAAGTGCAGTATTAGGGTGGGAGTGACCTAATTTTCCAGGTGCCATCTGTCACCCCTTTCCTTGGCTAGGAAAGGGAATTCCCTGACCCCTTGCGCTTCCTGGGTGAGGCGTGGCCTCGCCCTGCTTTGGCTCACACTTGGTGCACTGCACCCAATGTCATGCACCCACTGTCTGACAGTCCCCAGTGAGATGAACCTGGTACCTCAGTTGGAAATGCAGAAATCATTCGTCTTCTGCGTTGCTCACCCTGGGAGCTATAGACTGGAGCTGTTCCTATTCCCCGAATTAATTTTTGTTGACTGAATAAATGAAATATGAGTGTATTAAAATTTAATTTCATCACAGAAAATTATAAAATAAACAATACTGGAAAAGATTGAGAAAGTTTTTATTTTATGTAACTAGTGTGCATATCAATTCATAAATTCATTCCATTTGTCTGTTGAGACTGTACGAATTTTATGACTGCACAACAAATTATCACAAATATTGGCTTTAAACAATACCCATTTATTTAATTAATTCATTTATTTTTAGAGAAATGGTCTCTTTCTCTCATCCATTTTGAAGTGCAGTCACACAGTCATGGCTCACTGCAGCCTTGAAATCCTGGGCTCAAAGGATCCTCCTGGCTCAGTCTTCAGAGTAACTAGAACTACAGGCAAATGCCACCACGCCCAGCTAATTAAAAAAAAAAATTGTAGAGATGAGAGTCTCATTGCATTACCCAGGCTGGTCTCAAATTCCTGAGTGTAAGTGATCCTCCTGTGTAAGCCCCTCAAATGTTAGGATTGCAGGTGTGTGCTACCACACCTGCCCAAACAACATCCACTGATCTGTTTACAGTTCTTTAGGCAGAAATCCAGGCATGATGTAGACGGGGTCTCTATTCAGGGCTTCCCAAAGCTGTGTTTTCATTTTGAATCCTCCTTCAAGCATATATAGAGGCGGCAGAATTCAGTTTCTGACAGTCGTTGAGACTGAGTTTCCTGTTCCCTGCTAGCTGTCAAGGTAGAGAGGAGGGAGGGCTGTGCTCAATGCCAGGAGCCAAGCAGCATTCTTTTCTAGTCAGCCCCTTCAATTTCAAAGCCCACAGTGGAGGAAACCCCTCACACTGAATCCCTCTCACACTGTGAATCTCTATGCTCAGGAAGAACCCAGTCCTTTCATGGGCTCACCTGATTAGGACTGTCCAAGCAGGCTAAACCCAGCCTCAAGTCAACTGATTGAGGACCTTGATTATATCTGCTAAATCCCTTCACAGCAGCACCTACAGTAGAGTTGGTTGAATAATTGGGGGAAGGTGGATGACCAGGAGCTGGTTGTTGGGGCTATTATAGAATCAGCCTAGCAAGGGTTGGATTTTCCTTTTGTGTTTAATTGAGACACAGTTGGAAATTGAAGTTCAAGTAAAGCGATCATTGTGAATGATAATAAAATACATCCTCTTCAGCCATGGAGATTCACCTTACCTCTTACAATCAAGTGACAGGTTTAATAGCTTATAATTAATTCATGCCAGGTGTGGTGGCTGGCACCTCCAATCCTAGCACTGTGGCGGGCAGAGGAAGGCAGATCCATTGACTCCAAGAGTTTGAGATCAGCCTGGGCAACATGGTGAAACCTCCATCTCTACAAAAACATTAGAGTATTATCCAGGCATGGTGGTTCATGCCTGTAGTCCCAGCCAGCTACTCAGGAGGCTGAGGTCAGAGGATATTTGAGCACAGGAAGTCAACACAGCAGTGAATGGTGAACATGCCACTGCACTCTAGCCTCTGTGACAGAGCAAGATGCTGTCTCAAAAATAGTAATAATCATGATCATAAATTTAGAGCAAATGAAAATTGAAGTGCAATAAATCATCCTCTCTTATGAAAATGTATTAGTTATTTACTATTGCATAACAAATTACATAAAACTTAGCAGCGCAAAACAACAAACATCATCTACCGCAGTTTTCAATGGTCAGGAATCCAGGAGCAAGGTTTCCCTGAGTGCTTCTGGCTCAGAGCCTCTCACAAGGTTACAGTCCAGTCCAGGGCTGCATCGTCTGAGAGCTTCACTAGGGCTTGGGATTTACATGAAACATGGCTCACTCACATGGTTCCTTGTTGTCTGGTCCCAGGAGGCCTCAGTTTTTAGCCACATGGACCTTCCTGCAGGGCTGCTTATGGCACAGCAGTTGGCTTCCCCCAGAGCTCATGATCCCAGAGACAGAGAGAGAGAAGCTGCAGTGAGTTTTATGTTCTACACCCAGAGTCAAAAACTGTTATATCAGCACTACTCTATCAGTTAGAAGTTGTATTTGTCTGTTCTCACACTGCTATAAAGAAATACCTGAGACTGGGTAATTTATAAAGGAAAGAGGTTTAATTGACTCACAGTTCTGCATGACTGAAGAGGTGGCCTCAGGAAATTTACAATCATGGCAGAAGGGGAAGGAAGCATGTCATTCTTCACATGGTGGTGGGAGAGAGAAATGCAAGGTTGTGGGGGGCGGGGGTGGCAGGGAAGACTCTTGTAAAACCATCAGATCTCATAGAACTCACTCACTATCATGAGAACAGCATGAGGGAACCATCCCCATGATCTAATCACTTCCCACCATGTCTTTCCCCTAGCACGTGGGGATTACAATTCAAGATGAGTTTGGGTGGGGACACAGGGTGAGGCCATATCAGAAGTGCATCATTAAGTCCAAGCCGAACTCACAGGGAAGGAATTAAGCTGCACCATTGGAAGGGAGGAGTATCAAGGGATTTGCATACATGTTGAAAGCAAAATTAAAATTATTATTTCAGGATTTTGTAAATCAAATGCTTCTTTCATGTGATTATTTTTCTTTAATGCTTTAAGCTTCTTTTTAATTTTTATTTTAAGTTTCAGGGTACATATGCAGGATGTGCAGGTTTGTTACATAGGTAAACGTGTGCCATGGTGTTTTGCTACACTTATCAACCCAGCACCTAGGTATTAAGCCTAGCATGAATGAGCTATTTTTCCTAATGCACACCCCACCTCTGCCCTCCCCCAAAAGGACACAGTGTTCCCCTCCCAGTGCCCATGGATTCTCATTGCTCAGCTCCCAATTATCAGTGAGAACATGCAGTGTTTGTTTTTCTGTTTCTGCATTAGTTTGTTGAGGATAATGGCTTCCAGCTTTTTCCATGTCCCTGCAAAACATGATCTCCTTCCTTTTTAAGGCTGCATAGTATTCCATGGTGTACATGTGGTATGTTTTCTTTATCCAGTCTATTGTTGATGGGCATTTAGGTTGATTCCATGTCTTTGCTATTGTGAGTGGTGCTGCAATGAACATACACATGGATGTAACTTTATAATAGAATGATTTATATTTCTTTGGGTATATACCCAGTAATGGGATTGCTGGGTCAAATGGTATTTCTAGTTCTAGATCTTTGGGGAATCTACAATGTAGTCTTCCACAATGGTTGAACTAATTTACATTCCCACCAACAGTTAAAGCATTCCTATTTCCCTGCAACCTTGCCAGTATCTGTTGTTTCTTGACTTTTTAATAATCACCATTCTGACTGGCATGAGATGGTATCTCATTGTGGTTTTGATTTGCATTTCTCTAATGACCAGTGATGATGAGCTTTTTTTCATATGTTTGTTGGCCACATGTATGTCTTCTTTTGAGAAGTGTCTGTTCATGTCATTTGCCCACTTTTTAATGGGGTTGTTTGTTATTTTCTTGTAAATTTGCTTAATTTCCTTGTAGATTGTGGATATTAGATCTTTGTCAGATGGATAGATTACAAAAATTTTCTTTCATTCTGTAGGTTGTCTGTTCACTCTGATCACAGTGTCTTTTCCTGTGCAGAAGCTCTTTAGTTTAATTAGATCCCATTTGTCAGTTTTTGCTTTTGTGGCAGATGCTTTTGGCGATTTCATCATAAAATCTTTGCCCATGCCCAGGCAAATGGTATTGCCTAGATTTTCTTCTTGGGTTTTTATAGTTTTGGGTTTTACATTTAGGTCTTTAATCCATCTAGAGTTAATTTTTGTGTAAGATGTAAGGAAGGGGTCCGGTTTCAGTTTTCTGCAAATGGCTAGCCCGTTTTCCCAACATCATTTATTAAATATGGAATCATTTCCCTGTTGCTTGTTTTCATCAGGTTTGTTGAAGATCAGATGGTTTTAGATATGCGGTTTTATTTCTGAGTTCTCTACTCTCTTCCATTAGTCTATTACCATGCTGTTTTGGTTACTGTAGCCTGTAGTATAGTTTGAAATCAGGTAGTCTGAGGCCGCCCGCTTTGTTCTTTTTGTGTAGGATTGTCCGGGCTATATGAGCTCTTTTTTGGTTCCATATGAATTTTAAAATAGTTTCTTCTAATTCTGTGATAAGCTTCTCTTTTTAAATTAATGATTAAAAGTTTGAGACATCACAGAGCCTTGGGTGTTGTGGGGAAAACAGTTTGAGACAGAGAAAGAGGATACAATAGTATGTCTGAGTTTTTCTTGCAAATACCTTTAATAACAATATTCTCTTCAATGAGTCAACAGTTGAGAACCCAGAGTAACTAGAGCAAATATTCCAAAGACTTCTGTGCCGTAAAAATAATGACTTGAAAATAAGTCTTTGTTTCAACTAAGGTGTCTCACATTTAGTTGAAGTATGCCCCAAGTGCCAATTTTCTTATTGAAATATCATCTTCAAAAAACATTTGCCTACACTTAAAAAAAAGGGCTGTTGTGTCTATTGAGTAGCCATTCTTTTGTTTCCTTACTTCTCTCATAAACTTGATTTCACTTTAAAAAATTTGCCTAATTGGTTTTAATTTACAAAAATGTGAATCTCATACCTCAGTTAACACATCTAGCTTAGCAAGATGTCAATAGCTTTGGTTGGATGCAGTAGCCCAAAATGGTTAGCTCCAACTGAGGCATAAGATTTTTCAAAAACTGGCTATTTGGTGAGCATTCTATAATAAACTTAACATCTTTTGTTCTGGTATTGAATCAGATATGATAGAAGTGATTTGGACACCACTATGATTCTAAATAGCACTGCAATTTTGTGCTTTCAAGTTTTTTTGAGCAATCCTGTTGTGTTTTCCATTCATATTTGCTATTCCATCACTGGTTGTTCCTTTATACTCTTTTATTGTTTCATCTATTTTGATCAATGATGTGCATTTCCAATTCTGTAAAAGTTTAATTCAGTTGTATGTGTGGAATATGTAACAAATCAAATCCTTTGCAAGATGGAATTACCTTGCACATCAGATTGAATCTTGTATACCTGAAAATCTAGAGAGATGCCTGTGAGCCAAGGATCATATGGCCCTTTAGCCAAGGGTATTGTCATGGCATCCTGTAAGGAGCCTCTCTGTCATGTGGCTCCTTACAATTCTCTGTGGTTTTCTTCCAATGTAAGTAGTTCTTGTTAAGGATCCTTGCAATGAACTTTGATATTTTTTTCTTTCATTTTTTAAGAAACAGGTATATTTTAGTTTGAAAAATACTGTTTAAGGAGTTATAATCTAGTAGTTACCTGGGTTCCCAGCACTGGCGTAAGACACAGAACCCGCAAAGCCACCCTGGGCTGCTGCCCAATCACATCCCCCAGAATGAGACCCCATCCTGAGTCTTGTTTTTATTATTACTTTGTATTTCTTTAAATATTTGTACAATAAGTATATATAATCTCAAACCAAATATTAGTTTCACTGGTTTTTAAGCTTCCTGTACAGAAATTCCTACTGCATTTCTTTTCTCATGATGCACATTATGTATAGGAGTTATCTGTTGTGTGGGAGGCTGTCATTCACTCATTTTTACTGCTGAAGGTTTACATTTTATGGTTATATCACAATTTCACTACTTTGCTATTGATGTATAGGAGGCTGATTCCAGTTTTTGCCATAAACATTAGTGTGCATGTCTCCTGGGCACATAGGCGAGAAAGCCGCCAGAGTGTATGATTAGGAGTGGGATGGTTGGATGATATGTTGTATGGCCTTTAACCATACTAAATAATGATAATATGATTTCCAAAGTAATTGTGCCAACTTAAGCTTTTACAATAAATGTGTAATATGTGATGTTGATGTGTTCTGAAAACACTGAGTTGAAGGAATTAAGAGTTAATAGCAACTGCCTTGGCTGCAGAATTATAGCAGATTTTTTTTTTTTTTTTTTTTTGACGGAGTCTTGCTCTGTCACCCAGGCTGGAGTGCAGTGGCACAATCTCGGTTCACTGCAAGCTCCACCTCCTGGGTTCACGCCATTGTCCCGCCTCAGCCTCTTGAGTAGCTGGGGCTACAGGTGCCTGCCACCACACCGGCTAATTTTTTTTTTGTATTTTTAGTAAAGACAGGGTTTCACCGTGTTAGCCAGGATGGTCTCTATCCCCTGACCTCGTGATCCGCCCGTCTAGGCCTCCCAAAGTGCTGGGATTACAGGCATGAGTCACCATGCCCAGCCTATAGCAGGCATTCTTATTCAGACTCTGTTAATAACTTCCTGTTGTTAACTTGTATCCTATATACCATGGCTTTATACTTTTAACATATAGATTCAGAAAATGTTTCCTTATAGTACAAACACATAGGGTTATTTTATATGTCAGAATATGTCATAATAAAAAAGAAAAAAATGGAGGAAAGGAGAGAAAGAAGGAGAGAGGAGTGAAGGAAGCAAAGAAGGAAGGGGAAGAGAAGGAGGGAGGGAGGGCAAATGGAAATAGAAAAGAAAGAGAGGGAGGGAGAGATAGAAGTGAGAAGAAAGGGAAGGAATAAAGGAGAAAAGAAACGAAAATAAAGAAAAAAACAGGCGTAGAGAAACTAGGAACCCAATATATGGCTAATATTATCAAAATGGGAGGAAATAAAACGGATGTATTTAACCTCTATAGAATAACAGAAATGTAAGAGGGCTTCATTAGTTATCCATTGCTGTATAACAAACTACCCCCAAATTTAGTGACTTAAAGCAACAAACATCGACTATCTCAAAAGCATAATACAAATACTAGCAAAATGGAGCCAATGCAGGTAGAAGAAGTTGAACAAACAAAAGGATTTTACAAATTGGAGTAAGTAAGAGGTCACTGGTGTGCAGATGAAAATGATTTTGCATTCCAAGTGCCATCATGGGATTAAAGTTACAGGATTTTATTAGGGGACACACCTGTCAGAGATATAGCAACGGAGGCAGGTTACCCTGGGAAAGGCAACAGACCAAGATGCAAATGTGACCCCCAGTGATGGACAGAAGGACAGAAGGTTTACTGGATGTGTCCTAGACCACAGGCAATCTCAGGAGAGTTGAGCAAAGCCATGGAGGAGTCTTTGAGCCACTGCTGTCCGTCAGAGGAGTCCCTGGTCTCCCAGGAATGTCCTGCCTCAATGTCACTGGTGTGACCCATCACTGGCTGGGAACAGCCCATGGGAAGCAGGGTCTCTGCACCAATGACACTGAGGATGTCAGAGCACAGGAGTGGGGCCTTGGGTGATTACCCAGGAGTGTGGCTCAAACCTCCTGTCCTGAGAGGTCTGGGCCCTTGGAAATCAAATCCTCTCAGGCTGGATTGCTGGATGATTCTGCTCACATTTACAAAGGGACAAGGCAAACCAGAAGGCCCCCAAGTAGATCTCTGGTTCTCACACACACACTTCTGCCCTCATTGTGTGAAAGTAGCCATGCCTCCTCCTGGAGATCAGGATCTATTACCTGCACCTGGAGAGGAAGAGACTCCTTTTCTCACCAGCTGGTCTCTGGGCACATACTGTCCAAACTTCTCTGGTGACAACCATAATGTGTAGTTCAATGGGCTGTCATGTGTCTCCTTTTAAGGACCTCCTGCCCTGAACAGCCCAAAGTTGGGAGATAAAACGTGCAAAATACCCCAGTGGGTGAATCTAAGAGACTGGACATGGAGACAAACCTGCTTCCAACTTTCGGTTTCTAGACCCACATCTTCTTCCTATTGAGAACACAGCACCGTAGAGATGTCTCTGATTCAAACAATGCACCATGTCCTGAAAAACGGCCCCCACCCCTCAGAGTGCTTCCTCCAGGATGACACTGAGTTTTGCCTGTAGAAGACATTTCCAGCATTCCTTGTGGCTGGCAGCCCCTGGGTGGTGCAGATGGTGATCAGATCAGTGAAACCCATAGCCACGGAAACACTGGAACTTTCCCTGCCAAGTGGGTCCTTCAGGCAGATACTGGGTTGGGAGCACCGCCTAGCCTGTGGATCAGGAATGTCAACAGCACCCAGAGAGTGGTGCTGGCTGAGTGTCCGAGAGCAGGACAGGAAAACTCACCCATGGAATATGAGCCTACCCCTGTGAAGATGAACCTCAGGCCCTTCTAGGATGGAAGTAGCTAAATGTAGTCAACTTGTTACATAGTGGCTAGTTAGTCACCTAAAGAAATAGTGCCCCACGAGGGCACATGGTGGGCCTCAAATGCTGATGAGTTGGACATTCAGAGGTGGCAGCAGCTGGATCTGTCTTGATAATGGGGAGTCAGTACTTCTGGCCCCATATGTAGCCTCAGGCCTGCCACTGTGCTTGCTCCATTCATGTGCCCATCCTACCAGGCCTGCGTTGACCCATAGTGAAGGCTGGCTAACTTCCATTTGTCTGTTTGGTTGTTCAGTGCTGCTTCAGACTTGGGTGTTTTCTGGGGGTGTCAACATGGGATTCAAGCACAACCCAGGTGGACCATTTTCACCTCATGATGAATGCTGTTGGGCCTGTCCAATCTATGACTTTCTGGGTCACACAGAAGCCAATTCACACAGGTACTTGGAATCACATCATTGCTTGGTGTCCTGTGGTTAAGCATTCTATCGAATCAGGACCAGGAACACTAAAAGTTGCTTCTAATGGGGAGCCATGTCTCTGCTGTGGATGACATGATCTTACTCCAGATCCCAGGCCCTCCACCATGACTCTCCCACTGCTGCTTGGTTCAGCTCCATCCTGCATCTTTCCCCACCCCTGCCCCTTCCAGTACCAAGAGGTCTGAGGGATGGTGGCTGCACCGCAGCCTGTATCTGCTGCAGGGTGCTTTCCTGTGTAGGCCTCACTTGAAGCTGGCCTCCTCCTATGTCACCTAGAGTGTGGGCCAAAGCAACATTTCTACATGTGGAATGTGCTGTCGTCAGAACTCCAAGAGGCTCACCGGGGAGTGTGCTTTCTTTTTTTGCACTAAGGATGCAAAATGCAACACTTTGTAATTTACCTAGGAGGGGACACCCCTGCATTCCCCTAAACACTGGACTCATAAAACTTCACTACAGTGACCTTTCCTGAAGCTCTGTAAGGTTTATCTTCACCTTCTGAAGTGCAAATGTTTTGCCAACGATGCCAGTGCACTTTCTACCTGCTGCTCATTCGCCCCAGTCAACATGAAGTTGTGAATGAAATGAGCTGATTTAATATCCTTTAGGATATCCAGTATGTCTAGTATAGTCATAAGACTATACTATAGAGGACAGGGGAGTTACAAAAGTCCTGAGGCAAACTATAATTCAATGTGTTGTGGATCCCACATGAATGTGAATCACTCCATATACCCTTTGTAACTGGAATGGAAAGAAATGCACTCACCAAATCCACAGCTGCACACTGTGTGCCCAAGGCTTTGTTAATCTGCTCTACCAGTGATATCCAGACAGCACAAAAGCTGCACTTATAACTCCTACTTGGCCATATCTGGAGTAATCTCATTCATTCTTTAGGCCTCACTAGGCTTCCTCAGGGACAGATTGCTGGATTACACGGAGACAATAGGCAGCCTCAACACCACCCCGCCTCCTTCAGCTTTGTAATGGTGGTGTGACCCCCACAATACTTGCAGTGTCCTTCACAAGACCCACCCTGGGACACACTATGATTTTTGATTTGGCCAGGATGGGGGCAGTTTCAGAGGTTTCCCTTTGGCCTTTGGCATCAAGAGATCCCTTATACCACAGACTGGGGACCCAGTGTGGGGGTGACTCCACTTACCAGAGCATCAGTGTCAATTATGCACTCAGGGAATTGGAAGATAATCAGGGTTGGGTCTATGCATCCAGTGGTCCCATTGCGGGCCATAATGTGTCCAGGTTTACTCCCTGGCCTCCGTAAGCCCCACTGTGATGGAGAAGATGATTGTGCTGTGGGCATCTGGGCATCAATATCAGCTTACATGCAATGAAAATGATCCCCCTAGTTCTGCCTATTTCCCTTCCCCAATGTACAGTCTCCTGAGTAAATGGCTATAGGTTCCCTTGCCGAAAGACTGAGGGAATTGTCCCAGCCATATACCTCCATGGTGTCCCAGGGTCCTTTCTCTAGGGATATGGACTCCTCCTCTGTCACTGAGATCTGAGTCTGAATCTTGATTGAAGTCTAGGCATTGAGAAGGGGATCATGGCTTTGTATTTGGTCGAACACCCTCAGTCTCCTGCTCCTCAATTCTTGCTTTCTTATCATATATATCAAGCAGTGCCCTTGTTGGCTGCCTCTTGTAACCCTGGTGTCCTCTCTACTAACTTTCCCCACACTCCCTGCAGCTTGAGTCCCCTTGGCTGCTCCTCTGAGGTTGCCATGGTAACCATGCCCTCCGGCTTTTGCAGGTCACTGCCACCACTTGTTCTCAGTCTCTGCAGGCCCACATTCTCCCCAGAGATATGAATAAGCACAACTCTGGGACCTTTACTATCATCACGCCCAGCCTGCAGAGGATAACACCCCGACACTTCTTAGTGATGCAGGTCCCTCTCCACAGCATGTTCCTGAGGCTCTGGTGGAAGGTGTGCCCTCTGGGTCCTCTTGTGGAGCATGGTCCTGGTGGGCCTTCATCACACCCACTTCCCTCAGCCTTGTTATTGCGTCCTCTACATGTTCCAGGATAACTAGGTCATATCTACCTTGTTGAGAGTTGGGCATCATTTTTTCCAGTCTATATGGACTCACCCCAGTAGTGGGTTTACCCCATGTCCTGGGTTCTTTGATAAACCCATGTCCTGAGAAAGTGCCTCCAAGCCAAAGGATTTTTATTCATCCAGACTGAAATTCTAGTTTATTGATCAAATACCCTCAAATTCCAATCCCAGAAGTGCACCCCAGGCCCCTATGGGGACATGCTGGCTAGTTCCTGCAAAGCTCCTGAGTGGGATTCCTGCTGCATCGTAGGGGTGAGGCTTCTGTAGCATCTTTCAGCATAGGAAGTGGGAACGATTACTAGAGAAGGGTGAGCCTCCTCTGCATGCCCAGGGGGTCCTGGGGGAGGGCACCCATCAGATAACTCTGTTCTAGTTTGCAGAATCTGAGGTTCCCCCACCAGGGCCCTGACTTTCCTATAAAAGGCCTGTGTTGGCTGAGTATCAAACGTCTCTGGAGCACTGTGCCCACCATAATGATGTTCAGCTACCATTCCATGCTATCTGCTCTTTTGATCCAGGAGATAAAGGCCTCTCCATGAGACACTGCAGAGACTCTCACACATAGCCAGTGACAGCTGTTAACAACCTGCAGATTCTCATTATCCTTTTATAGAGCATCAACACAGCTGGGAAGTAACCAGCCAACTCCACTGTCTTTGTGGGTTTACCCCCAACTCCATCATTATTGTGCAGGGCATTCTATCACCACATCTTCCATAGCTTCCCCTAACCAGAGCATCTTCTCAGGTTAGCACTGGTGAGACCCACGGCAGCTCAGATGCAACTTCTCCATGGACTTTCTTTGTCCCCCGCTAACCTAGATGGCATCCTCTTGGCCTGACAGGCAGTGGGAAAGCTTATTTCAAATTTCCAGTTTTGGTCATTTTCATGGATCGCCCTTGATACCACTTGTGATAGCTGCGGTCCTGAAGTTAGACCCCAATACAGTATTAAATGTGTAAGGATTTATTAGGGGAAATAGTTGTGAGAGAAAATCAGGATAGAGACAGAAATGCTGGAAAAGCCATCAGATCACAATGCAACTCTGAGTCCCAGTGAAGGAGAGAGGGCAGGAAGGTCAGCTGGAAGCATCCTAGACCCTGTGTAGGCTAAGGGAAGCTCAGTAGGGATGGCAGGGAGTCCTGAAGCCTCAGCCAGCCTTCGGAGTAGGAATATTCTTGCCTTAGTTTTCCTGCTTTGGTCAATCATTGGTTGGAAAAAGCTGGGGCAGGTGTGGTCTCAGATCAAACGTGACAATAGATTTCAGGCTGCGACAGCTGGGACATCATCAATTATTCTTCCTCTACCTGAGGGCCTGGGATGTGCATCCTCATGAGTGCCACAATGATCCACTGGAATAAAAGGAAAAGGGATGACAATAGAGGGAAAAAATGGTATTAATTGATGAACTAACACTTTAAGTAGATGAGAAGGGATGATGTTCAGGGTGCCAGCAGAGGAACTGGCTCTGGTTGGGAGCAGGATGTTTAACACACAGCAATCCCCCATGTAGTAAAATGCCTGACATGTGGTGCAGCTGCAAATGCATGGGCAGACGGTGGTGGAATCTGTGAAGTTGTCTTCTAAATGTGTTCAGTTTTCTCAGTGAAGTAGGAAGCAAGATCATCAGCGGAAGTAAGAATGGGGAAGGAGGATTGGATGTGTGAGGACAGAGAGAAGGTATGTAAGAGTCACCCAGGCCAGGAGGAGGCTGAGGGTGAGCCATGCAGGGAGAGGGTGATTGCTGGCTATGGTGGGGGCTCCCCATGAGGTTTGGGTCGTGAATGTAGAGAGAACAGTCAGCATGTTGTGTGCTGCTCTCCAGCCTCCTGCAGCTCATGGGGGCAGGTGCAGTGTAGGCTGAGGTGGAATCCACTAGCTGTGTAGTTTTGCCAGGCAAGTGTGACAACGAAAGGGAGAGGCAAGGGAGGGATGGAAATTATTTACTACAGAATCCAAAATGGATGAGGAGGGAGGAGAGGACAACAAACACTAAGGGAGAAGGAATAGATAGCAGCATCACTGGATTGGGAATTTCAAGGGGGTGGAAAAATTATTGGAATAGATGTACTACAGAATGGACTCCATGCCTGGAAAGCAGGCACACATGCAATGAGTGGTTCACTGATGTTACATTATAGCATATGATCAAATTATAGCATCAGTGTCTTCAGAGCCTGTGGCTACCCTGCAAGGGGATGAGTGGAAAGATGGTCAGAGAGTGGGAAGTGTGAGATTGAGAGTGCGGAAGGGCTGGGGTTCTTTGCCATGATGAGGCCTAGGGGAGGACAAGGTCCTGAGATTCCGGCAGAGAGAGGAGATGGTAATGAAGAAAAGGAGTTCCAGGATCTGAGAGGCCAGGGAGTGAGGGCATCTTCTCTGCTGTATAGGTGTCTATTGCTGCCATAAAAATTACCACAAACCAAGCAGCTTTAAACAGCACCTAATTATCATGTCACAGTTGTGTGGGTTGCAAGTCCACCCAGTCTCACGGGGCTAAGATCAAGGTATGGGCAGGTCTGTGCTCCTTCCTGGAGAATCTGGGGAAGAGTCCACATCCAAGCTTATTCAGGTTCTTGTCTGAATTCACTTCCTGCAGATAGAACTGAGCTTCCCACTTCCTTTTTGGGAGCACCCTTAGATCCTAGAGACTTCTCTCTGGTGCCTAAAGCACATCCAATCCTCCTGCTTGGAACCACTGATCTCCCCTTTGCTGTGTCTCCTCTGCCTTCCTTCTCTGCAGCATGTGACTCCATCCAGAGCAGATTCTCTCCTTTTAATGGCTCATGTGATTTGATCGGGCCCACACAGAGAGTCCAGGATTATCTCCCTACTTTAAGGTCCTTTATCTTCATTACATGAGTAATGTCCCTTTTGCCATGCAATGCAACCTGTTCACCGACTCCAAGGACTAAGACTGGATCTCTTTGGGGACTAGTACTCAGCCCAGCACATCTGCATATGTTGAAGTCAGAAAGAATCAAGGAGACAGCACTGCTGGAGAGGGTGACAGTGATCTAGGAGCTACAAGAGTTAGGATTGACAGGAATGGCTTGGGGCCCACAGGGAATGGCTACAATGAGGGGAGCGGGGCCTTAGTCTGATGACAGCTTAGGGGTTTTAGGGAGGAGGGATGCAGAAAGGTCTGAGAACCACAGTGAAGAGCAAGGACCCCACCTCACCTCTGAACCCAGGGGTACAAGTTGCTGGGAAACTCCCCCATGTAGGGGAACTTCAGAGCGGGTCACATCCTCAGGAAGACCTGGTTCCTGCTAGAGCTTCGAGGTGAGGGAGCATCCTGAGAGAGAATGAGGAGGTTTTGCTGATCATGGACTGAGGATTCCAGGGAGTACAGAGGGAAGATTTCTGGAGTTAGGTAGGGGACATGGTGGGGGGAGAGAATAGAGCGTGCGGAGCCTTGTGGGGATGCAAGTGCTGGGTATATGGGGGACCCAGTGTGACTGACACAAACAGGGAAAGGGCATGAGGAGCTCAGTCCTGGTGGACTCGAGGCGGACGATGGTGCTGAGGCTGTGGGAGATGAGGGAGGAGGAGCAGGGGTGGCTGTCACCTGGGCTCTCTCCATGGAGGTGAAGACAGTGAGGTGGTTGGGTCTTAGTGCTGTGTGGACCTTCTGATGACTGGAGGGAGTGTCTGAGGGAGGAGGGGTCTTAGAGGATTCACTCGTGACCCTGAGGGAGGGTATGTTCTTACTTCAGGTCTCAGGTGTGCCCTGACACCTTTCTTTGTGGCTTAGGGCTCCCTACTGTAAATTATTGGGGATTAGTACCTTTTGGAATTTGTAACTTAAAGCAGAAACTCAGATGGTCGAAATGTCATTTTCATGAAGGTTTGTTATTAGCGTATCATTTAGATTGTCTTGCAAAAGTCTCATTTTTTGTTGTTTTTCTAAAGGGCTGTCGATCTTGTTTTAAATTTACAAATATTGATAATTTATCTCCACTGTTAATTGGTTGGGGGTTGTTTAATTTTGTACTGCATAGTTTTACATATCTATAACAACAGTGGTTTGGGCCTCTTATGTTCTAATAATTAAGACTTTAAGCTGTGTACACATTGCAATTCAAGTATGAGTCATGCATAACCCTGGCACTAAGAGACAAGAGGGAAAGTCCTTCTCTCCTAAAATTTTGCAAAGGTTCTGGGTTCTTTTTCCACTGAGTGGGAACGAGTCAGCTAGTGAGGAACATGAGGTCTTTGGCCTCATCGAAAGGTGATTCATCTCCCAACTGTGAGAAGCACTGACCACTAGGAAGACCTCCCTGCCTGGTCCCTGGACCCCTACACCATGGTAGAGGCTATCTTCCCTCCCACTGCAAAGTGGTATCCCAGATAGCAAGCTGGTTAGCTGCTGCCAGCTCTTGGGTAGTTTTGTCTTCTAAGGCATGGGTTTTTATCTGAAAATCTTCCCCTTCCCAGATGACCCAAACTGGGGCCACCCACTCTTTTCTGAGCCACCTCTGCCCAGAGACCTGTGGCTATGCCCTCCAGTCACAACAGAACACCCTTTCAGAACACCCTGCAGGAAGCTGAGATCTCTACAGACTCACATGAATGGTGTGTGCACAGAGCTTTGGTTCTAGTTCAGGAGGTGTGGAGTGAGGCTCGCTAGTCCAACAGAGCTTGAGGCTAGTACTAGTGTCATATGCCAGGAGGCAAGGTTACAGGGGATACAAAGTGTCCAGACCTACCAGAGAAGGCAAACCCCTGTAACAGGCAGGGCTAGACAGGGACAAGAAACAAGGTCATTCTGGGCCAGCAAGAAGAGGGAAAGGGAAATTACAGACATATCTCAGAGAGATTGCAGATTTGGTTTCAGATCATGCAAACAAAACAAGTCACACAATTTTTTTGTTTTTGTAGTGTACATAAAAGTTATATTTATACTTTAGCCTATTAAGTATACAATAGCATTATGTATAAAATAGATATGTACATACCTTAATTAAAAATTACACTACTGCTAAAAAATGCTAACAGTCATCTGAGGCTTCAGCTAATACTAATGTTTTTGCTGGAGTAGGGTCTTGCCTCAATGTTGATGACTGCTGACTGATGACAAGGTGGCTGCTGAAGGCTGCTGTGGCAACTTCTTAAGACAATAAAGTTTGTGGCATGGATTGTAAAGTGGGAATTAGTACATAAGTAAGGTCAATATGAGTTTTCAAGTCAAGTGGACCTGAATATGAACCCTTCAGGCCTTTCCACCAGCTAGCTATAGAACCCTGGGCACATCTGGCCCACAATTGGCCCTGACAGACACTTTCACAGTGAATGAGTGCTGAATGAAACCATATGAGTCAGTTTCCTCATCTGCAAACCAGTGATGTAATTCCTGCCTTGCCAATTCAGAAGAATACATGAGAAGAAACATAGTGCCAAGAAAAACAGACACAAGACCTGTGGAAGGCTGGGCACCAGTGCTCTAAAGCAAGATCTGCCTAAACTGGCAGGAACATTTTTCACAGCAGACAGGAGTTGGTCTGGATTCTGTCTGGGGCCAGGCTGAGAGGGAGGTGGGGGCAGCAGAACGGGACAGGGGCAGGGGCCTATGCAGGGCCAGGCACTGAAGCAAAGCCCAGGCCTGGAAGGGCGGGCTCCTGATGTCTGCTAGGAAACTCAGACAGCTCCCTGCCTCACCCGCCATGGTTTTTCCTCTTCCAGGATCTCTCAGAGCTGTTGCCTTCACTTTTCCTGCCTTGGAAAGTGGAGATGATAACGAAAAGCTGTTGCCAAATTAAAGGAGGCTATTGCCTCCTCTCCCCTCCTGGTCCCTAGCACTCCAGGACTCACAAAGATGCTGCTCTGAAAACCCCAAGGCAAGCGTGGAAGAGTAGAACAGCTCCAGGGGCAGTGGGAAGATGAGGGCACCCCCGCATGTTGACAGACACCAAGGGTGGGGGTGGAGGAGATGAAGGGGATCAGCACAGGAGTCTGGGGGAAATCCTCTAAATCCCACCCTGCACCAACCTCACCCCTGCAGCTCCTTGTGTAGTTACAGCTCTCAGCTCTCAGCTCCTTCCCAACCACACCCCAGCCCAGACCTCAGGGCTCCTCCCTCTCCCCACCCCCTCCAGAGCAGCACAGTCCACAGAGCCCTTGAAAAGGAATTCCCCCTCATCTAACAGTTAATTATTTCTTAGTGGGGAGGGACAGCCGGTCCTCTCTTTCCAGTGACCCCATGTCTTTGTTCAAGGCATCCAGTTATACTCCCTGAGCCAGGGATCTCTAGGCCAGCTGGGACCTAACAGCTTCTCCAGTTGCTCAGGGGCCAGCACTTATGCAACCTGGCATCTGTGCCTGGCACTTCCTTCAGATGTCTGGCTGTCCTCGGAGGGCTGGAGTCCAAGGAGTTGGGGCAAGTAGGTGGTAACCAGGCAAAGTTTGAGTTGCAAGAAGACAGGGATATTGGCCATCCTGGTCATTGTAGTCTTATCAGGTCCTTGTCCCTTGTGGAGGCAGAATTCACCACATGTTAGTTTTTCCTGCTGTAATGAACATGAACTTGGGGTTGGTGCACTGATACAATAAGGTTTGCTCTGCTGCAGTAGTGTTGCCTCCGTGTAAGAGAAACAAAGGCTTCAATATAACATTTGCCTGTGTATCTCACAGCCTAAGGGCTAACAGAGCATCTGTGGGAACACAGTGGCCCACACCCTAGTCAGGACCCCACAAGGACTGAACCAAATGTAGGGTCATTAGCTTTTCCTGGCCTCAAATAGGAGTCTTACCCTGCCTTAGCCATGACTCCCATGCCATGTACATGTGGTAGGGGCCTGTGTGCCCAGCAAGGACACAGTTCAGAGAGCTTTCTTCATTACCTAGGGTGAGTGGCTGGAAAAAAAAAAAAGTTGCCCACGCCCATGAGGCCCTGGAGGGAAGCATAGAACCTACTACTAAATTCTTCTGGGCTGACCCATTTCAGGCATGGTTTCCTCTGTATCAAAGTTGCTCTCTCACTGATCTACTGACAGCTAGCTCTTAACAAAACAGTGTGTGGAGCAGTAAAACTCATGTCGGCCTGAGAGGGCCCCAGACATGTAATGATGTCTGGTGGCTTTGGCTGGGGCCACCCCATGGCTGTCCTCCTTCTTGGGCGTTCCCCGCTCCCATCTCACTGGAGCCATGGTGGGTTCACCTGTCCTCTCTTCTCACTCCCATTCTTCAGGGTGGGATGCAGTGGTGTGCTCCTCTCTCCCCAACAGAGCACTGGTGTCCCTTTTGGAGTCTAGTTTCTCTTTTCACCCCCAAGCCTGCTGGGGAGGTCTCAATTCCAGGAAGTTGGCTGCTGGGCATCCACTATGGGCTCCAGCCCTGGACCACAGGCGCTGTCATATTTTGGGTGGAAAGGAATTTGTTTCTTTTCTGCAAAGTAAAGGAAAATGGAATGAGGGCAATTAGGTTGATCTCATGATGTCCATGGGTCCATGGGAACTTGAAAGACTCATCCCCTTCCCCCTGCTTTAAGAAGATAAATGGAGAAAAGGAGCTCCCATTAAGGGAAAACATTGACTCTATTCCTATTGACTCTATCCTTGAAATGGAATTTGGATTCAACTTCAAAATTGAATTCATTTTTAGGGATAGAGTCAAATTCAAATATTGACTCTATCCCTGAAATTAAATCACAAGCAAATAAGAAATTTATGAGATCCAAACTAAGCCATTTAAGTAAACTATTCCAGAATTTAAAGCTCAGCAATGACAAGATATCAGGAAACAGTGACAATTCTCCCACTCCACAGGTGAGTCCAGTGAGACTGGTCAGGGCTTGCTGCCTGCTCCTTGGTGCTGTCCTGGTACTTTGGAAGCATCTATGATTCTGTGAACCTCACCCACAGCTGCCCAGCAACTTCCTTTTGCTTATATGAGCCAGACTCTGCTTTTATGGCTTATACTCAAATAATTTAAGGTATTTATTTATGAGTTATACGTCCCATGTGGAGATAGGGAAGGAGAGTTAGGTACTCTTCAATGTTACTACCTGCTAAGCATATATACATGATTTTTTTTTTTTTTTTGAGACGGAGTCTCACTCTGTCACTCAGGCTGGAGTGCAGTGGCATGATTTTGGCTCACTGCAGCCTCTGCCTACTGGGTTGAAGCAATTCTCTTACCTCAGCCTCTCAAGTAGCTGAGGTTACAGGCGCCCACCATCATGCCCAGCTAATTTTTGCATTTTTAGTGGAGACAGGGTTTCACCACTTTGGCCAGGCTAGTCTCGAACTCCTGACCTCAGGTGATCCACCCGCCTCGGCCTCCCAAAGTACTGGGATTACAGGCGTGAGTCATCATGCCTGGCCGAAACGTTGCTTTTTAAAGGTATAATTTTGGATTAGAGAAAATGCTAGTGTATTTAAGTAAATTCCATGAAGAATGTGAACACTGTAAGCAAGTGCATTATTCTCAGCTTCCATCTCCTCACAGAGCCATCATCCACTCTCTTCCATCCTGCCCCCTACACTGGGAGGCAACTATGACAGACAGACGACATGGCCTGTGCTCCTTCACCATCTGGCTTGTGCTTGGGTGTGGATGATAACAGGCACCTGCAGGAGATGGGAGTGTGGGAGGAGGAGTAACTCAGGGTTTTCATTTCCCTCACTTACTCTGGGCAGCTCTGTGATTCTGTAATCACTTCAGGCCTCTATCTACAGCCATAGGCATGGCGGGCTGCCCCTAGTGAAAGCTACAGATTTGCCTGAGTTCTAGAAACTGCTCCCTTCCTTGCTCTTTCAAGCTCAGAAATGCAAACCATTTCCTGCTACAGATCATCCCAGGGAGCTTCAGTGCCCCTTGTGACTTTCTTAGCCCTGCCAGAACCTCTTTAAAACGTGTCTTCCTTCTGTGCCATATCTTTCCTGCCAGGACCCAGACCACAGGGTGCTCCCACAGAAAAAGGGACAAGAATTTATTTATGACATGGCAATAACATATCTATTCACAATGCGAATTCAATTTGTTTTGGAAGAGACTGGGTCTTGTTATGTTGCCGAGGTTGGTCTTTAACTACTGGCCTCAAGCAATCCCTTTGCCTTAGCCTTCCCAAAGTGCTAAGATTACAGGCGTGAGTGAGTGTGCCCAGGCCTTAATTCAAAAATTTGACTTACTACAATAAAAGGGAAACAATAGAAGCATTCTGGAAATGGAACAGGAAAGAAGGCAGAGGTGGGAACGATCAATCTGTGTCATCTGAGAAGCCCCATGTGCAGAGGCTGTCCTGGGTCTTTAGGGGACGACAACAACAAAGCACACAGGATCCTGGTGTCAGGGACAGAGCATGGCCACTGTGGGACATAGCGGCTCTCCTACAAAATAATGCTCATATACATCCCTTATGAGGAGGATCAGATCAACATATAAAAATATGCCAGATAAAGTGGAGGCGAGGGCAGGATGGAGAGCTGCCAGTATCTGCCCTTGACCTCCATGGACTTGAAGAAAGGCTCAGCCTGGAGTTGTGTGAGGCCTCCGACCTGGAGCAGCACCCACCCCTAAAGACCAGGCACCAATCACAATGCAAGGAGAGATCCAGACAAATAAACAGGAAATGACCACAGCAGGAGCTTTGTTGAGCACAGAGCGAGGCCACACACCACTCAGCACCTGGCCCTCCACCCGCCCTTCTCTCCCCACCTGCCCCTGCCCCAGCACAGCAGATCCTCAGAATCCAAAAAGAGAACCTAACCTCCATGTTTTATTAATGGCTGATAATATTTTACCACAGCTTCAAAGAAATGATATGAGAACAATAACTAATAGAGTAAGAAGTCTATTCAGGGTGAGTGAGTGACAAGGGAAATCTAGGAGGGAGATATTGTAACCCTTTCATTCCCAGAAAAGAAATGATGGTCCAGGGAGATACACCAGGCCTGGATATTGAGATTACGTGGAAGGGGTTCTGGGGCATCAGAGGAGTGGGCCTCACTCCCACCATCCTCCCCTTGCTATGCTTGGGAGGAGATAGAGCTCATCAGCTGCACAGCTGGGGAAAGAGAAGTCAGGGTCTTCCAAGAGACAAGGGGAGCTGTGAACAATCTGTGTCTTGCTGGTCTGCACAAGGCAGCTCTCAAACAGTGGAGAACATGCTAATGAGCAGATTCAGCTCAGCCACTCTCAGCCTTGACACCCTGAGCATTACAGACAGCCCGTGACCAACCCCTACTTTCAAATCCAAAGATCCCCTACAGCTTGAAGCTTCTCCCCGGCCTCAACTCCTGTTGGTGTTGGGCCCCAAGGGTCATATTTCAGGAAGCTGTGAGCACCACATCAGCATCAGGGACCCGGTCACCACCTGGAGAATGATAATAAAAAGACCCAGCAGAGCCTGCAGGAGACTGTATTTGAGGCAGGACCATAGGATAAGTGAGGAATGAGACGGTGGCTCCATCCTGTCTATTTCAGGAGTTAGAGATGAGCTGCCCCTACCGCCCCTTCCATGCTGCTTTTTATTGAGTAGACCCCTCCTGAAGTTCTTTTGAGGAGAGAAGACCCTGTTAGGTGCCATGGTAGAGAGGGGCCCTGTGAGTCTTAAATAACTGGTTAATATAGCTACTTAGCTGAAATTAGGAAGGTAAACCCAGGATTCAGGAGAGGAGAAAGAGACAGCATGGGATCCTGCAGTCACCCTCCTGTACATCTGTTTGCAGGGAGGGTCTTTCCTGCAGGGTTGGGAGCACCCAGTATTGAGGTCCTCTGAGTATGGCTACCCTGTTGTTCTCATCTGTGAATGGGGCCAGGCCTGTTTCTTCCCCCAGTATAAACAGCCAGGGGAATCCATCCACAAAACACCTGCTAGCTTCACATTAATCCTGTATTAGTTTGATTTAATATTTCATATCTTATAAGAAATGAAATGGAAGAATGATCTCTTTGGTAAAGGTAATTCAGATTCCTGGGGCCCTGGATACCTTATCTCACTGTTTAAAATCCTCATGGAGGATCAGGAGAGTACAGAGCCCAGAAACAGTCACGAGACCTGAAGCTCCCTGGTGTAAAGGACCCTCCCCCGCACCCTGGGGCTTAGAGTGAACAGCCTCTACTGTCAGCCTGATTGTTCTCAGTCTTCCTGGCTGCCAAGCTTCTGGTTCCCAGCAGCCTCCTCTCTCACCCTTCACCTCTTCTGACTGGGGTCATTGGCC